>NC_000004.12:117254714-117406229 GCF_000001405.40 Homo sapiens | reverse complement strand
GTTGCTTAGCTTCTCAGCACCACGTTGACACTGATTTTCTCCTCTTTCAGGCTCTCCTCCGTCCATCTTGATTTTTCTTCTCCACAGTATCTCATCACTGGCATATCCCAGGGATCTGTCCTTAGGTTTCTCTTTGCAATTGTGTTTTTAGTGACATAAATACTAGAATATCCCTCCATTTATTTAGATTATTTTAACTTTTCTCAATAATTTAAATTTTCTATGTAGAGATCTTGCTAACCATTTTTTAAAAATTTGTTGCCATTTTAACATCTTGAAGCTATAGTAGATGTTATTTCTTTTTATTTTTAATTTATGTTCTAAGTGTTTATTTCTGGCATATATAATTTTGAATGTCAATTTTTTTATCTAGGAACTTCACTAAATGTGCTTATTCATTATGTTCTTTCATTGTAGTTTCTTTTTAATTTTCTTTTTTCATTTGATGCTTTTTAATTTTTTTTTAATTGTGGGTGCATGTAGGTGCATACGTTTACGGGGTAGATGAGATGTTTTAATACAGAAATGCAATGGGAATAAGCACTTCATGGAGAATGGGGTATCCATCCATTCAAGCATTTATCCTTTGAGTTGCAAACAATCCAATTACGCTTTTTAAATTATTTTAAAATGTACAATTGTTATTATTGCTTATAGTCACCCTGTTGTTCTACCAATAGTGGGTCTTACTCATTCTTTCTAACTATATTTTTGTACCCATTAACCATTTCCACCTCCCCCCAAACCCCCAACTACTCTTTCCAGTCTCTGGTAACCATCCTTCTACTCTGTGTGTCCACGAGTTCAATCGTTTTGATTTTTAGTTCCTACAAATAAGTGAGAATATGCAATGTTTGTCTTTCTGTGCCTGGCTTATTTCACTTAACAGTATGATCTTCAATTCCATCTATGTTGTTGCGAATGACTAGATCTCATTCTTTTTATGGCAGAATAGTACTCCATTGTGTATAATTACCACATTTCCTTGATCCATTTATCTACTGATGGACACTTAGGTTGCTTCCAAATCTTATCTATTGTAAACAGTGTTGCAAATAACATAGGAGTACAGATATCTCTTCAATATACTGATGCCCTTTCTTTTGGATATATCCAGCAGTGGGATTGCTGGTGCATGTGGTAGCTCAGTTTTTAGTTTTTTGAGGAACTTCAAAATTGTTCTCTATAGTGGTTGTACTAATTCACATTCCAACCAATGGTGTACAAGGGTTTCCTTTTCTCCACATCCTTGCTAGCATTTGTTATTGCCTATCTTTTATACAAGAGATTTGGATAAAAGCAATTTTAACTGGGATGAGATGATATCTCCGAGTAGTTTTGATTTGCATTTCCCCATGGCACATGTACAACTATGTAACAAACCTGTACGTTCTGCACGTGTCCCATTTTTTTTAGAAGAAATAAAAAAAAATAATGAAGAGACATACAAATGGCAAGCAGGCATATGAAAAGGTGCCCAACATCATTGATGATCTTTTTAATTTTCTATGTATGTGATCTTTCATCTAAATTTTAAAACTCTTTTTTTGCATTGTTGCACTTGCTCGGGCTTCTACTACAATGGTAAATAGAAATGGCGATAACATTGTGAAAATACTGGTTTCTATGCTGACCTCATGATATACTTTAAAATTATAGTGCAATATTTTTGTTTGTCTTTCTCTACCCATGATTACATTCAAAAGATCCATTGCATTCTCAGTTTGATAAGACTTTAAAATTTTTTAATGGGTGTTAAATCTTAACAAACTATTTTTCTGTATCTACTGAGATTACCTTGATTGATTTTAAAATTTTGAACCAAACTTGTATTAATTGAGAAAATACAGATTGGTCTTGATGTATTATTTTATTATATTCAGGGTGTTTATTATTTTGTTTATGTTTAGGATTTCTGCATCTGTGCTCATACCTGAACTTCAATTTTTGGTAATCTTCACATCATGGTTAATATTTGCTATCAAGTTTGTGCTCACCACATATAGTAAGTGGCTAATATTTCATCTTTTTATCATCTTAAGAATTCATTTAAGATTCTTATTTCTTCTTCATTTAATGCATAATAGAATTCATGCGTGAAGCTATTTGGTCTTGGAAATCTCTTTAGTTGGAAGTTTAAAATTTTTATTGAGAGGTAAATTCCTTGAGAGATAGAGAAAGGAAAAAAGAAAGAAAAGAGTAAAATTCTCCTTTACTATCCGTACTATCCAAGCGTTAACAAAAGTGACAAATTACTGCTTCTCTTCTTTTACACTCACCCTTTCATGTCTTATATTATCAATTGTGGTACCACCATTTTTATTTCCAGTATTAATTATATGGACTCTCAATTCTCCTAGATTGGCTGTTAACAAATTTATTAGCCTTTCCTGAGAATTAACTTTTTAAATTCTTAATTTTTTCCATTGCTTTATTTTATCCAATATCACTAATTGTTTTTCACTTACCTTGTTATAGTTTCTTCTAGTCTCTGAATTTAATTTCTTCTTATGTATCTGTATTCTTAAGATAAATGTTCACTTACTGTTTTTCAGCATTTCTTCATTACCTATTTGCATAAATCTTTTTAAATCAGCTATATCTTCATCTAATAAGTTTTAAGGTTACATATTTACCACCATAAAATTTTAAAATATTTTATAATTTCTAATTTCATTGTTTGATTCAAGGTAAATAAAAACATGCAGCTTAATTTCTAAACAATTAGAGATGTTCTAAGTAGATCAATGATTTCTAATGTTATTTTCCTATGGTATGAGAACATATTCTATATAATTTTTAATTTTTGAAATTTGTTAAGAGCACTTTATGATCCAGCATTTCATCAATTTGGAAAATATTTTATTTGTACTTATAAATAATATTTTTGACACATTATCCTGTAGATGTTGAGACAAATTTTTAATTGCTTAATTTAAATATTTCATGTACTTATTAATTTTTATCCTGTTTCTTCATTTATTGAGAAAGGTGTTAATTTTTTTATTCCTATTTTTGGCTTGTCAATATAATTTTTTAATTCTTTCCATTTTTGTTTGCATATTTTGAGTCTATGTTATCAAATGTATGGTAAGAATACAAATTTAGAATACTATGTCTTTCAGATGAATGCAAGCTTTACTCTTAGAAATACAGCTCTTTACTTCTAGTAATTATTATTTTCCTTAAAATCTATTTTGTCTACCTTTACTGAAATTACATCAACTTAAATCACGTTAAGATTTGTACAAAACATATTTTCATATCATTCTAGTTTAGTATTTTGGGACTCTATATTTTAGAAGAGCCAGATTATATTATTTTTTCTTTTTGAAATATATATTTTAATCCAATTGGAAAAAGTATTTGTTATTATTTACAGTATTTAGTTCATTTCAATATAACAGTTTACTTTAAATTTATCAACTATTTTGTTTTTCTTTGTCTTGATTGTTCTAAGTTGTTTTTTCACCATTTTATTACTTTATTATATTTTATTTCTTTGTCTTTATTGGCTTGTTGATTGCATAATTTTCACTCTTCCACATTTTGTTTTGTTTTTCACTATAGGTTGCAACATTCATTACTCACGGACAACATAATCAATTTCCAAATACTTTAGCTCCACTTACCCTGGCAAGGCTTATATGTGATTGTTGTTTTATATTTTATATATGACATATGTTTGTCATATATAAAACCAATATGTATTAATATTTCATATATTACATTAATATATTGAAATATATGTAATATATAAAAATATGTATTCTGCAAGACTCAATACTCTTACATAGTTAATGTTTACTTAGACTACACATATATTTAGCCTTTCTATTGCTGTTTATTTCTTCATTGTGTTGAGTTTCTTCTCATGAACAACACTGTGGTGCAGTTTGCAGTACATTGTTATTTTTTTTAGTAAGATAATATCACAGAATATAAAATTTTAGACAAGGGACTATTGTACTTCAGCACTGTGAAGATACCATTTCAGTGTTTTCTGACTTCCAGTATTTTTTTTTCTGCTGAGAAATCAGCTGTTTATCTGTTTTTTCCCTTTGAAAGTAAATCTATTATTATGCCTTGATACCTCAACAACGTTTATGTTTTCCCTGACTTTTGGAATTTTCATGTGCTGTATTTCAAAATGATTTTATTTGTATTTATTTCCTGGCATTTCATAGAGTTTCTGTTATCGTGACTTGATAACCTTTATTAGTTTCAGAAAATTCTTAGCTCCAAAAATATTGCTGTGCTTTATTTTCTTTTCTATTCTTCTAAAATTTCAATAAAATATGTTCAGCTTTATCTCTTTATTTTTTATATCTCATCTACATTTTCAATCATTTTGTCAACACATGGTTAATTTTGCATATAGTCTTTTGACCTATATTACTATTTTAAAATTAATATTCTACTCTTAATTTCTGTATTGACTTTATAATATTTCTTTTTATATTTCTAGTTATGGAATTTTCTTTGGATTGTTTACCATAATTCCTGTTAGATTGTATCTTACTTCATTACACATATGAAGTAGAGTCATTTTAATGTATATGTCTAATATTTCAATTACCTAATTTCCTGTGGGTTATATTTTCAATCAATTGCAGCATCCGAGGCTACATTTCAAGCAGGCACAGCCAAACTAGGGCCCCAGGAGAAGCCAGTGGACCAAAGAGTGCTCAGGTAAGACCAGCCTTGTCTGATGGACAACACCGCACTGCAGAGTTCAGGTCCAACAGTTCCCCTAGGGCTCCTATGGGAGCAGGTCGAGCCTAGGGAGATGAGCATCCCTGGATATGCTCCACTATACAGGCTCCCACACCAAACCGTCTGGGCTTCACACTTCCTGAAGTGCTGCCCCTGCCACTTCTCTAAGCAACGTTCTCTGCCAAATCAAGTGTCCATTGTCATCAAGCGGTCTCCTCCTGGTAGAATTCCAGAGACCTGTGGCAAGAGCGACTTGCTTCTTGCCAGTTCAATTCACCCATTCCCCTGGAGTCACTGGGGGCCAGGAACAAGTCCTGGTGCATGATAGCCCTGTGTAAGGTTCCCAGCTTCCTCCCCCTTCAGCCCAGATTCTGTGTCTTCCCTCTGTCCACTCACAATTCTTTCCCTCTGAAAGACGTCTTAGGAATGTGCCCGTCATTTTGATGCCTTGGTGTCAGCTGTTCCAAGATGATCTAGTTGGTCATTTTGCCCTGAAATCTGGACCATTTATTTTAATTATCATTAACATTATTTGAGATAATTATATTAGTTTCATTTTATTGATGAGAAAACTGAGGCTTATAGATGTTAACATGTTGGAGGTGACGTGACTAAAAAGATTATTTCAAATCATTTGTCTCTGGATAAATGAGACGTATCTGTCTCATGGGAAAGATAATCAATTCTATCTCATGCATTTAGATTAATTTTTTGAATCATTACAATAGTAAATTCAACTTTAGATTAATTGATTAATAAATTAAAAATATAACATGATGAATGTATGAATTACTGGGCTTTATGTTTGACTTCTGAATGGGACTGTTTACTCTCTGTACAGAGTAAGCCCCAGGGACTTTTCTGGTTGCAAAAGTAATCCTGGTACTTTCTGGATTTTCACTAGATTAAAGTAAACAAGAACAATATAACAGGCAAACTCCTTAAGTTAGACATCACTTACACATATCATAAGAGGAAAATAATTTATAAATGTTCCCAAATTTTCCTCCATAATACAGAGAATAGTATAAACAGGTATTTTACCTTCAGAGTTCAAACACATACAGTTCACCCATTATTCACATATTATTGGTTGAAAGTCTTTTAAGTGCAATTTTACTGAAATAATGGGACAACTGCATGACTCTACAGTAAAGAATGTGAAGTACATTCCAAAGTATACCACAAAATACAGTTAAGCAAACATGAGTGTTTCAAATACACACTTTTTTTAAGTCAGATCTGGGTAAACCTTCCATTTTTGCTGCTGTCAATCTTTTGATAAGAAAGGCTTGTCATTTTTGTTTAAGAAAGTGAAAGTGCTTACAAATGAATGCTCTTGTGACAAAGTAGACTGTTAAATTGTCTTCTGACTCTTGCTGCTGCTGTTTGACCATTAATCACATAAATAGGGAACAATAGCATTGGAGATTCATGTTTCTAGCTGTCACAAACACTGGCTTGTCACAAATGTCAGTTATATATTCAGCAAGAAATATGAAAGTGACACAGAATTATTTTGGCTCTAGGAAAGGGATTGCTCATGCTGCTCACTAGAAAATCCACTTTTAGATTTTTTTATCTGCTGACAAATCTGGCAGTTTATCTTTTATTTGCAGTGTCCATATTCTTCATCATCAACCCTACATTTTTGAACCATGTGTCTATGGAAGAAACTGTAGACAATCACCAAAGATATCTTAGAAAGCTATACCTCACTCATCTGTCATTCTTTCTAATATTCACTTTTAGTACCCATACAATGCAAAAATATTTTTAATTAAGACAAAATAAATGAGAAATCTTCAGATGGAATCATAAACCTAGGCATATATTTTTAAAGGCTTCAAAGTACTGTACCTGAAAAAAAAGACAGAAGACCACAAAGTAACTCAGATTCTTTTGAAGTTCCAGATTAAGTAATCTTAATATAAAATCTCAAATTTATTAAAGATAGAGCTCCAGAAGAATTTGGACCTTCTTGTCCTTTTTTTAAATTGCTGTAACATCTTATTAGTCAAGCAATGTAATTATTTTACTTGCTCAAGGGAACTGGTCCATTTACATTTATATTAAAAAAAAACTCAAAAGTTTTCTACAAAGTTTATTAACCTAGCCAGTTCCATTATATTTTCTTTATTCTACTAGATTCTGTCTTATAAATGCATTGTCTTGTAGAGCGTCTGGGCACATATTCAGGCTCTTCATTTTCTCTTTGCTATTCTGGTTTCCATTTCTTTATTTGGGCATTTATAATGTAAAAACAAATGTATAGGGATTATCTTAATTATTCAACCATGTGCTCTGTTCATATAGTATCTGTAAACAATATCTAAAGTCATCCTCACCCAGGCATCTCTTCCATAGAACTTAAAATTATTGTTTACATAAATGAAGTAAAATAAATGTTATTTTACTGTAGCTTTATTTGCTACTTCAACACCTGCTCACTTAGAGGATTCACTAAAGCTTTAACATTGTGAATAGTAAACAACTATAATTTTTTCTTACTTTGTTGTAGGCAGTAAGTATAATAAAGCCATATATGAGGAATAGATTCTAGCTCTTGAACCGCTTTTCCTTTATTTTTTTATATTCTTCTCCATGCTTCCTTTAAATAAAATGACTAAATCACAATTCCTTCCCAACTCTTTCTTCCTTGAGTTTTATTTATTGTTTTCAAAAATATATATCAAATCCCAATGCATATTTTACTTCAATATAAGACAATCTGTTATAAGAACAACATGTGGAAAAGCTTAAAGTGCGTGCTCTGAAGTAATAATGGATTACATATAGTCATATGTATTAATAAATCTCTTACAGTGTTGATAAATCTTAGTGTACCTACAAAAACACAGTTCATTTAGACTTTGCCTCTTTGCACTGCATTTGCCTACATCCTTTTATGAGAAAATTGTTCTACTGCCAAAGTAGTGAATGTAATAATTTAAAAAAAATCTTTCATTTAAATCTTTAATGTCATCTTGAGTTAATTTTTGTATATGGTGAAAGATAGGGGTTCAGTTTCATTCTTCTGTATAAGTTTAGACAGTTTTCCTAGCACCATTTGTTGAATAAGGTGTGCATTCCTTGTTGTTTAGTTTTGATGACTTTGTTGAAGATCAGTTGGTTATAGTTGTGTGGCTTAATTCTGGTTTCTCTATTCTGTTGCATAGATCTATGTGTCTATTTCCTTACCAGTACCATGATGTTTTGGTTACTATAGGCTTGTGGTATAGTTTGAAGTCAAGTAATGTGAAGCTTCTGGCTTTGTTTTTTGTTCTTTTTGCTTAGGCTTGCTTTGGCTATTCAGGCTCTTTTTTCATTCCATATGCATCTTAGAATTGGTTATTTTTTTCTAATTCTGTGAAAAATGATGGTAATTTGATAAGAATTGTGTTTAATCTGTAAATTGCTTTGGGTAGTGTGGTCATTTTAATAATGATTCTTCTAATCCATGAGCATAGGATGTTTTTTTTTCCATTTGTTTGGGTGATTTATTATTTCTTTCACAGGTCTTTTATAATTCTCCTACTAGAGATCTTTCACCTCCTTGGTTAAGCCATAAATATCCTAGAAGAAAACATAAGAATGAGTCTTCTGGACATTGGCCTAGAAAATAATTTATGTCCCAAGACCTCAAAAGCAATTGCAACAAAAACAATAATTGATAAATGGAACTTAATGAAACAAAAGAGTTGCACAGCAAAAGAAACAAACAACAGAGTAAACACACAACCTACAGAATTGGAGAAAATATCCGCAAACTATGCATCCAACAAAGGATGACTATCCAGAATCTAAAAGGAATTTAAACAAAAGAACAAGAAAATAAAAAGAAATAACTGCATAAATAGTGGGCAAAGGACATGAACAGACATTTCTCAAAAGAATACATAGACGTGACCAACAAACATGAAAACAATTGCTAAACATCACTAATTATCAGAGAAATACAAACTAAGACCACAACGATACATTGGAAGTATATACAAGAAGAAAAAAATAAAATGACAATGATATATTTTCTCACACTAGTCAGATGGCTATTATTAATAAGTCAAAAAACAACATATGTTGGCAAGGAAATGGAGAAAAGGGAATGCTTATACACTGTTGGGAATATAAATTATTACAGCCTCCATTAAATACAGTATGGGTATTTATCAAAGACACCTGCACTCATATGTTTATTGCAGTACTATTCACAATAGCAAAGACATGAAATAAAACTGTGTCCATCAATGGTGGATTGGATAAAAATGATACATATAGACCATGTAACACTATGCAGTCATAAAAAAAGCATGAAAATATGTCCTTTGCAGCAACATGGATGCCATTGGAGACCATTATCCTAAGTGACTGAAAGCAGAAATAGAAAATCAAATCCCACATGTTCTCACTTATAAGTGGGAAGTAAAGACTGGATACACTTAAAAGTAAAATTGGAAACAACAGACACTGGAAACTCCACAAAGTAGGTGGGAATGAGCAGGGCAAGCGTTGAAAACTGCCTGTTGAGTATATGTTCACTATTTGAGTGATAGGTTCACCGAAGTCCCACACACAGCATCACGCAATACACCCATTTCACAAAACTGCACTTGTGAATCCTTAATCTAAAATTAAAAAAAGAATTCACCACTACAATTACTCTCCTAAAACTTAATAAACTTCCTGAACTCATTCTGAAAAAAAGTTTAAAAATCTTTGAAAATTCTAAAACAATTGTAAAATGTCTTTATTCAAGTTAATTAGATCTCAACGCTTCATATTCAGACCATTATTATTTTCTAGAGCAATTAAAAATATTACATCACTTTTACTCAAGGAATTTGGTAATTAAATTATATAACTCGAATTTTACTTCCTCTCAATTATTTTTAAAACCAACATAAGATAAATAAACATGATAATACAATTAACCTAAATTTAATTATAATTGTATTTTAATGTGACTTTCTAATATTATCAAGAGAATATTATTCTGGTCTTACTTTAACTGTCAGAATCATAAGTATTCTAATTTTTGAGAAAAAGAAGAAAAATCTTATTTTTTAATATTCGGAAACTTCTAATTTGTTGCTTACAACAGAAAAATAATAAATTAAGGATAAATTTATTTTAATGAAAAATGACTTCTCTTGATTGTTTCTCCACTGACCTGGAATGAAATGAAACAGTTAAATAAATAATATGTGTGGTTTTCTAAAACAAAGCCTTTGAAAATCCAGGTGTTCACTGTTGGCTGTTTATTCATTGCATACATTCTAAATATTTAATGGTAGTGTAGGATGGGCTAGTACTAATGGACCCATATTGGGTGTTCTTTTTGATTATTTATCTTTACTCGAGTAAAAAGCAAAATAATCTGTATATAAAAATAAATTTATGTATTTTATTTTGCCATTTTCTAGTTTATGAACTCCTTCCAGTGCATGTGTACCAGAACATAGGAGTATTAGTGTCCTTAGAATTCTATCTGCTATACTATTGGTAGTCAACTTCTTAATTTATTTTTGCTGTTCTCTTTAGGATTTCCTTCTATTTGCTTTGTTTTGAAATTTTTCTTCATTTACTAGTTTATTAAGTTGGAATCTTTGATAGCTGATTTTGAATCTTTTTACTTTTCTGATATAATCATTTATAGCATTGCTATATCCGTATCCCACAAATATTGCTTTGTTAATTTCTTATCATTTCACTAAAAAATGTTTCATTATCATTTTTTCTTGTAACCATCAATCTTCATAGTGTTTTTTAAATGGTATTTGAGATTTTTTAAATTATTAGTTTCCAATGTAATTCTAAACTTGTCCAAGAATATATGTATATGCTTTAATTCCTTTATATTGATTCAGGCTTATTTTATCACCAGTAATGTAATGTGCACTTGAAATCAATGTGTATTCTGCAGTCATTAGTTATAGTGTCCTATAAAAGTAATTCAGGTCAAGTTGATTGATAGCATAGTTCATGTCTTGTATATCATCTATTGAGTCAGCAGTATTGACATCACTAAAAGTAATTATTATTTTCCTGTTTTTCTCTTTTATTTTTGTGAGTTTTGCTTTTATGGAATTTTAAGCTCTTTTATAAGGAGCAAAAACAGGATTATTATAACTTCTTGTTATATCTGTGAAATATCCATCTTCTTTCATCACATGAAATGTCTATCTTATCTCTGGGAATGCTTCTTTTCCTGAAGTCCATGATTTTGTATTACTATGGCCACTCCAGATTGCTTGTGATTAGTATTTACATATTATATCTTTTTCCATAATTTTATTTTTATCTCTTTATCCTTATATTTAAAGTATACATATTTATTGTTGACAGTTACTGTCATTTTATTTACTGATAATCTCTGTATTGTAAACAGTTTTATTATTCCATTTACATTTAATGTAATTATAGATATGATTGGGTATAAGTCTAATAACTTCCTCTTTTTCTTATTAATAGCATCTGGTTTATTAAATATACTATCTGTATCTTATTTTGTATTAGATGCTCTATGATTTATAATATGCAACTTTAACTTACCCAATTTGCCTTCAAATGATAATACTCTACAATATAAGAATTATAGAAATGTATATTCACATTTTTCCTTCTCTCATTCTTTGCACTGCTATTGGTATAAAATTTACATCAAAATACATAATAACTAATTTCTTTGTAGTACAATTTTTACTTTTAACAGTCAGTAGACTTTTTAGGATTTCATAAAAATAGGAAGTAAAATATGTAGTATTAATCCACAGTTATAATTTCCATAATATCCATTCTTTGAGTAAATTTATTTGCATTTCTACCTAACAACATTTTCTTTTTATCCTGAAAGTGAAAATTTAATATTTAAATTTCTTGAAATGCAGATCTGCAGTGGAAAAGTTCTCATAGCTTTTGTTTATCTAGAAACATTTATTTTACCTTATTTTTGGAAGAGATTAACTGGATTTAAATATATATGTTGATATTTTTCCAGCACTTTAATGATGCTGTTCCATTATCTTCTGGCTAGAATTTTTTTTTTTTCTGATGACAAGTCAGTGGTCATTCTTACCTTTATTATTTTGCATAAGTAAAACGTGATTATTTTGACAAAGAAATTAAAGCTGAAGTGACATTATGCCAGTTTCACTGTAGGAGTTATTTCTGCCTGAAATAATCTTTCCCCAATACCTGTATCTTTCTTGCGTCTTTGATTTAGAATGCTACCCTTATACTCAGAAGCATTCCTACTAATATTTTCCAATAGAATTTGACTAAGGTGGCCAAATGGGGTGGCTCATGCCTGTAATCCCAGCACTTTGGAAGGCCAAGGCAGTCAGATCTCCTGAGGTCAGGAGTTCAAAACCAGCCTGGCCAACATGGTGAAACCCTGTCCCTACTAAAAATACAAAATTTAGCCAGGTGTTGTGGCACACGCCTGTAATCCCAGCTACTCAAGAGGCTGAGGCAGGACAATCACTTGAACCCAGGAGGAGGAGGTTGCAGTGAGCCAAGACCCGAGATCATGCCACTGCACTCCAGCCTGGGTGACAGAGCAAGAATAGGTCTCAAAAAAAATATTGCCTAAGGAGTTTATTATTTGTTTCAAATAATTCATCAATGAAACAAACTGGGTTAGACTTCTCTTCGTTGGAAAGCTTGTGAATTTTATTGATTTCACAGTTGTTAAGGTATTCAGATTATCCGTTTCATATTGTGTCAGTTTGGGCAAGTTATTTTTTCAAAAACCTTATTTCATGTAAGTTATTAAGGTTTTTTATTATTCTCTTAATGTCTTTTTAAAATCTATAAGATCTCTGGTGATAACATCTTTCACTATCCAGTCCTGATTTTGTTGATTTGTATTCTCTTCTCTCTTTTTCTTTTGATCAGGCTAGTTAAGGGTTGATTAATTAAATCTATCTATTCAAACAACTAAACTTTAGCTTTCCCAATACTTTAATACAAATAATATTTAATCAAATAAGTAATATTTAATTTAATTTTATGTTATAATTATATGAGAGAACAAACTATATTAGATGTGGGCATATTCAATTGAAGAATTGAATAATCTATACCCATCCTTCTTTGGAAGGCTTTCCAGGTATTCAAAGGTAATTGGGGCTGGGTGCAGTGGCTCATGCCTGTAATCCTAGCACTTTGGGAAGCCGAGGCAGGCAGATCATTTGAGGTCAGGAGTTTGAGACCAGCCTAGCCAACATGGCAAAACCCCATCTCTACTAAAAATACAAAAATTAGCCAGGTGTTGTGGTGTATGCCTGTAGTCCCAGCTACCCAGGAGGCTGAGGAAGGAGAATTGCTTCAACCTGGGAGGCAGAGATTACAATGAGCAGAGATTGCGCCATTGCACTATAGTCTGGGTGACAGAGTAAGACTTCATCTCAAAAAAAATAGTGGGGTGGAGGGAGAGGACTTGAGTGTTGTTATATTAGTTTTTGATCACTGCAGCCATATCAGAATTAGGGGCACCCCCAACCCAGTAATGATGTGTCTCTTGCAGACTTGTAGAGGTACTGCCTTAGCTCTTATGATTGCAAGGCAGAGACTCTGATTCCCTTCCCTTACCTTCTCCCATACAAATGGGGAGTCTCTCTTTGTGCTAAACTGCCTGGATCTGGAAGAGGGGTGACACAATATTCCTGTGGCCGCCACTATTGGAACAGTTCTGGATCAGAGCTTAAGGCACCATGGTACTGGGTCTCACCCAAGGTCCTTGGAAACCACTGCCTGGCTACTGTCTATGTTTGTTCAAGGCCTACCTCTCTACAGTCAGCAGGTGGCAAAGTCAGCAAGGCTTGTCCACTTTCCTTTAGGGCAGTGAGCTCCCCCTGGCTCTGTGTGGGTCTAGAGATGCCACTGGGGAGCCAGGGCCTAGCCTCCAAAACCTTATGGATCTACCTTTTGCTCCATTTTACTACAGCTGAGCTAGCATCCAACACACAGGAGAAAGTCTTTCTCACTAATTCCTCCCTTTCCACAAGTAGCAAAGTCCCTCCCATGGCCACCACTTCCCCAAGCTCACTGCAAGTACTGCCAGGCTACCACTGATGTTCCCTCAAGGCCCAGGGGATCTTTATTCAGCTTGTGGTGAATGCTCCCAGGTCTGCGACTCTCCCTTCAGGGTAGTGAACTCACCTTTGGCTCACAGCATGTCCAGAAATGCCATCCAAGTATCAAGGTCTGGAATTGGGGACCCCAAGTGCCCACTTGGTGCTCTACCCCATTGTGGCGAATCTGGTAGCTAAGCTATAAGACAGAGTCCCCTTTATTCTTCCCTCTTCTTTTCTCAATCAGGAGTCCCTTCCAGTAGTCACCACAGCTGGGAATGTGCTGGGTCACACTCAAAGTCAGCACATGTTTAAGTCCTACCAAAGGCCTGTGATTAGTACTGCCTGACTACCAATGCTGGCTATTCAGGGCCCAAGAGCTCTTTACTTAGCAGGTGATGAATCCTGCCTGGATTTCCGACCCAGGGTGTGGTTAGAAATGTCATCCTGAAGCTAGAACCTGCAACAGGGGTCTCAGGACTCTTCCTGTTGCCCTATCCTACTGTGGCTGACCTGATATCTAAATTTCAAGACAAAGTCCTCTTTACTCTTTCCTCTCCTCTCTTCAAGCAGAAGGAAGGGGTCTCTCCAAAAGCTTTGAGCTGCACTGCCTGGCTTTAGGGGAGTGGTGACACCAGGACTCCCTTGGCCACCGTGGCTGATGTCTCTAGGTCACATACCCCCTCAAGTACATTGGATTTGAGATCAGCACGGCACCAGAACTTGACCAGGAATTGCAGCCCTTGTTCCTTATATTGCCTTTCAAGTTTATTTAGAACCCTATAACACTTTGGCTCATGGTGGTGGGGCTTGACAGCCCTCAGGTTCCGAGTGCTAGGATGGGTGATTCTCCTCTGGCTAGAGCTGGTCTAAAAATGCTTCCTCTGTAGGTGTTGAGTAAGTTCTGCTCAGTGTACCTTTCTGATGTGATAGGGAGCGCTGATTTCCAATGAAAAGTTTTGCATTCACTGTGCTGTCTGTCTCTGTAAGGCATAGATATCTCTCAGCACCAAGTGGCTACTGCTATGGAATAGGGAATGGGTGGAGTTGGCAATTCAAGACTGCCTTTTCTAGTCTTGTCACTGCCTCTTTCAGTGATTTGAAGTTAGAACTAGATGTTGTGTTCAGTCACTTAATTTTTGATTCTTATGAAGGTCCTTTTTTTGTGTGTGGATAGTTGTTCCATTTGATGTTCTTGTGGGGATAAACTCCTATTCAGCCATTTTTTCTGCCTCCCTCTTGAGCTGTTATTCTTTTCTCAAATATTTAAAATTGAAAATATAAATAGGTATGGATGAATCAAGCTTTTTCAGGGATACTTGACTGTGAACTTCAAGTATTCTGCTTATTGTCAGTTAAGCTTCTATTTTGTTAATATTTTGATATAAGCATTAAAAAGATAATGCTTCTAAAGTGCTAAAAAACTGACACAGAAAAGTTGGTAATAATTTCCACTTTTATCTTACCTTTCTCCTCAATTTTTTTCCTCTTTGATTCTTCAATTAGTATTCACAGAGATGTAAACTTACTTTTCAGTAAACATTTGTTTATTGATTAATAGTGGTAGTTTTCAATCTATTATTTCAACAGCTCTATTGTTATTGTTGAAATATAATAAATCTGTACATATTTTAAGTGTAGAATTTGATACATTTTGGCTTGTGGATATACTCATGATTCCATCAGCACAATTAAAATAGTGAACATGCCTAGTTCTTCAACAAGACCTTTTTAAATGCCTGTCTCCCTCCCAAAGCTCTCCTTCTCATGTAACCACTGATATGTTTTCTTTCATTATATAGAGTAGTTTGCATTTTCTAGAGTTTTATATAAATGATTTCATGCAGTATGTACTCTTGGTTGCCTGGTTTCTTTCATCTAGTATAATTATTTTGAGATTTATCACAATTGTAGTGTGAAACAACAGTTTATTCCTTTTCTTAATGCTGAGTAGTATTTTTAATATTTTTTATTGAAGAAATAGCCTTTCTCTCAGAACATATCTACAACACTTATAATAATATTCTAAAAATCATGTTTTCCCCAATGTGGTATATTTTGTTAAAAAGAGACATTTCTATGATTTAGCCAAATTAGTGCACTCTTTGAAGTAAGCTAATTTTAGAATTGCATTCGATAGCAACTTAGAACATTTGATTTTTTTGTTCATGTGTAGCAACTATGGTACATTTAAGCAAATGTACAGTTAAAAATGAAGATTACAAATGTGGTTCTACTGAGGAGGCTGAGGGCAGGAGAATGGCGTGAACCCGGGAGGCGGAGCTTGCAGTGAGCCGAGATCACGCCGCAGCACTCCAGCCTGGGCAACAGAGCAAGATTCCGTCTCAAAAAAAAAAGAAGGTGTATTGTAATGAAGTAAAGTAATAAATGGCCAAAGTAAAATAAGAGATAATTTTATTTATTGAGAAATATAACTTGGCATTGCTGGTTTTCAAGCAGTAAAATTGAGATATGTTTCAATTTCCCATTAAGATATTGAAGGTATGTTTAATTAGTAAAGTCTATTTGCCAGAAAGATCAATGTTTTCCCAAATTTTTCAAATGCAGTTTCAGATATCAATATACTTGCCCCATGTAAAGTAAGAAAAGAAAAGTAAGTGAGATTATTTGAATTGATAATCCGTATAGGGGAACCAAAACCATTTTTAAAATGTTTCCACTAGGAAATGGTTTTGTGCCTGTTAAGCATGCAAAATGTGCCAACATCTGGCTTTTAATAATATTATGCCTCTCCAATGACTCCATGAACAAATCACACTTCAAGTAGTTCAAATTAATTATAAAATCCAAACAGTCACAGATAACACTTCTGCTTTTCCATATGATAGGCACAAACTAGAATGATGCAAAATGTGGCTGTGCCAATTAAAAATAGCAAAATTAATGGGTAAGGTAGAAGATGTAAAAAGGAAATGAAGGTAAGATTATTAGATAAGAGCAGCTTGCAAATGGAGTATTCAGATTTTGAGAGTTTTGTATATTTATCAAAAATAAAACTGAGCTATAAAATAAGAATTAAAATATACTAACAAATTTGTGAATAATTACCACAAATGCTTCATATTCTTTGAAATAAGATGCTCCAGTATTAGAATTGGTATGTGATCAATAAATCACTTGGCAGCATGTGAAATGTGTATTTTACTGGTTTGCTAACCTACATTCATTTATCAATGCAAAAATATGTTAAATTCTCATTATGAATAAATACCAAATTAGGTGTTGATTTTACATTTCTAACTTCATAGAGTTTACAGTGTACTGGTGATTTAGGAAATAAACATTTATACATATAACAAGACATATAATATATAAAAAGTTAATACTGAGGAAGCAGGAAATAACAGATGATTCTACACTGAGCTTTGAAAGCCTGTTTGAGGAGTTTAATTTTAGCTGAGCATTGAAAGACAAGAGTGAAGGGTGAAAAGAAGGTGGAGAGTAGGAGGATGATATTTCCAGGATAGAAAACAGCTTACATGAATAAAATATAAATACAAGAAAAGCATAGCAAGAATTGTTCTTTTTGAGACAATATTTTCAGTCTATTTTCTTGTTTAGTTTATACAATCTTATTTCAATAATATGTTACATCTGTATAAATTTACCAAATATTAAATACATAGTTATAGGTCCTTCATTAGAATTCAAGATAACAGAATATTTAAGCGTGCAGGAAAATTGACTTATTTTAAAGTTGAAAATATCAAACACCACTTTTTGTCCTGAATCAAATTAATTGGTGAAAAGGAGGCTTGAGAACAGAAAGATTCAATTCTTTAAATAAGGGTGAGTAAATCAAATTATTGAAAGAAGATGCTGTAGTGTTCAATCTTATGCATCTTAATATCTCTTGTCACTTGACATTTTCAATAAAGGTCCTTTTGAAATCCAGGATCAGATTCATGTCTAAATACTTTAAACCAGAACTAAATCCAACAGCTACCATCAACGTATATTTTCTTTTTTCTCCTAGCTAGTTCTTTTGATAACAACACCTCTCATACAGTTTCAAAGCATCAAGATCTTCAATAGCTTCTCCTTCTCTGCCAATTATAAATTTAAAAGTTGGAGAGATTTACATTTTATGTTACTGCAATTTTTTCCATTAGTTTGAATTAACGAGATCTCTAATGTTGTTAAAATCCTGTTTCTTGCCTCATTACCTCTAGCAGCAGCTTGCTCACTAGTATCCCACTTCTGACCTGAGCCTCTTCTAATAAGCCACTCACATTAGGGCAAAGTAAGGTTGCTAATTCATAGTCACTATCATTAGAACGCCAGGTTGATTAAATAATACTCCCTGAAAACACCCCATACTGTTCTGTTGTCTTGATTGACGTTACTTTCTGTTATCATCACTCATCTATTAGGGCCCAATATTACGTACGTTTAATTCTTCCTCATCTTGACAACTTTATTATTTTTCTTAAAGGAATACATCTTTTCACTTTCAAATACCAAAAGTTTGGTATATTAATTACCAAAGGTTCTTAATTCTTATGGAATTTAAGGCTTTTCACTTGAATTATACTTACTAGCTTTCATACTATTTTCAATTAAGTTGCAATTTGTTCCAGAGAATGAACCAGAATATTACCTTGTATAGTGTATAAATCAATGATTTTTTGCAGGTAAATTCTAGGAATTAAGTAATAGCCCATGGTTTCATGAATATAAACCATTTAATATTAGCTTGAAGTAGTATGTTTTGATGAATAAAAAATTGCTTAAATGACATAGCAGGAATGGACTTGCTAATTAATTCTTCCTTAATTTATTCAAACTTTATGTAAAGATCTCCCATTATGTGCAAGGTATTATTTTAAAAGCAGATGGCCCCAGATCCTGTAATGAGTAGGAAAACACTACTACTATACTGAAGAAATTTATAAAATTGCAGTGAAATATCTTACACAGTTTTTTAATGTTTCTGCCAGTGTCCTTTGATCAACTCAGATTGTGCATACGTCAAGGACTGTGTTTATTCATAATTCTCTAATATATATGTTTCTACAATGTTAACTGGAAGTTTTAGTACTAATAGAATTTAAGAACATGGGTCTCTCATGCTCTTTGTTTTACATTCAGCCTTTTCATGACTTTCTGATTCTATGAATGTGTGCGCATATGTATTGTGTGTTTATTCAGTAAGGTCAGAATATTCTGCAACAACCCATTAATAGTTTGTATTCATTTCCACTCTCCTAACTACCACATGCACTTATTCATATATGTTCTCTAATGACCAACATCTTAGAATATTTGCAAATTACAAATAAGTATCAGATCTCTAAAACTGTCCCAATAAAATCATTAATTTTATAATTCATATTAAGATTCTGGTAAAACTTGATTTTTAAGAAGACAAATCTTAGATGATATTCTGATGTTAATTATCTTAGTTAAGCATGCGGTATTAAAGTCAATAATTTAATAATCTAAGATTAAATTATTCATGTGCACATGACAAGTTTTCCAAAACACAACAGTGGAGTCACTACAGAGCTCAGAACTGAGCAGACATACCAGGTGTCACACACTCCTGAAGATGTTGAAGTTTCAGCTTAGATAGGAAGAATGGAGGGACCTCACTGAGGACCTCAGGCATTAGGCTGAAGCTCCAGGGAAGGTACACTTTAAGAGGAAGAAATATACCCTGTAAAAAGGCCAACACCAATATTAAGCACAAAACAGAAACATCCAGTCCCATGTCATTAAACGCCATCTCTATTCTGAGGATTTCCAAAATCATAATTACACCTCAGATCTCTCCATCAAATTTCTACTCATGTACTTAACTTTCTTTTTGACTCTATTTAAATAATTAATAGCCATCTAATACTGAACTCTGCTCCTGCACTACTGCCCCTTAAAAAATAAATCTAAAACCAAAAAGCATACTCCTTCTATGTTGCTTTAATTGCTGGAACTTATATGTGCTCAGGTTCAGAATCTTCATGTCATCTTTACTCCGTCATTTCTTACACCTCCCACATTAGCAAATGCAACCATCAACAAGCACAATCATATTTCACTCACTTCACTGCTTGTGCGGATCCATGACACCACTGTTTTCACCAGTTTTTTTTTCCATCAGTATCATCCTAATATGCTCCCTACTTTCATCTTTGTACCCATACCAACCCACAGTCTCTTTCTAAATTCAGTGGGCTCTACTTCTTTATTAAACAAAACATGTTTCTGTCTCAGAATCTTTGTTCTGCTTTGTTTTCAGCCTAGAATGCTCAGCCTCAGAGCCTACATGAATTTCCTTTGACAACCTGTGAACAATACAACTCTTACCCTCTTTATTCTCATTCTTAGCACTTATCATCTGACAAATCATCTTTATATTAGATTATTTTTGTCTTTCTCCATATGAACATATGCATCATTAAAAGTAGAGCCGTTTTTGTATGTATGTTCTTCAGTGACCCAAGCATCTAAAACAGAACACGACACACTAGTAGGGGCTTAATATATAACAACTAAGTATAAATATAGTCTTTGTGGCTGCAGGTTGGAGAGAGAGGACAAAAATAATAGGTGATGAGATGGAAGTTGTAAGCAGAAAAAATGAGAAACCATGCTATGACTTGAAGCATAGAAGTGACATGATTTTAGAATTCTAAATGACTAACTGACTAGGAATGAGGATTTTCTTAGGAGCAAAGATGGAGAAACAATAAGAGCCTATTTGAATAGCTTAGTGAAGAGATGATTTTGACTCAGATGAATACATCATCTGTAGTTTCTGGCTTTTGCAACTAGCTTTTGCATGAACTGAAAACGAAGCTCTTGGGCATCATATATCATACATACAGCTCCTATGGATCTGTATAAATAAGCAATAGTGATGATGGATGTATTTATATATTCATTCCAATTGATTTATAAGATAAATGCCAATTTATAAAAATGAAAAATATTCCCAATATTGAACTATATTATACCATTTGTATAATATAAAAGAAGGAAAAGAAAGAAATGCACTCACTTGGATATGTATATCTCCAGAATTCTATTTCTTTTAAAAAACTTAATAAAATTGTTTGCCTTTAGGTACAATAAGATACCTGTGTGAAGGAACTGAGAAGAGGGCTTTCTACAATATACCATGGTGTAACTTTTGAATTTTGAACCCCGAAAAGCATTAGCTACATAAAAAATAGGTACCTAACATTTAAATATAAAAATTATAAACCTCAGAAAAATATTCAGCATTTTGGCACTTATTTGCTGTTTATTTGCAGTTTATTTTAGAGAAGTAATTTTAACTGTTGGAAACAATATATGGAAATACATCCTAGTTTGGAGTGGAGGGGCAAACTACCCTTCTCTCCACTCCTTGTACATTTTTCAAAGTATACCTACTTCCACTGCATTACCCTTACAGCATTTTCTACTGTACCTCTTGTCACAGTTATTGATGTCAAATTGTTATGCTCTTAGGTTAAGAACAATCATAGTAAACAATCTTATAACTATGTATAGAGAAATATAAATAAGTTTCTAAAAGAAAGTCAGGGCCAGGTGTGGTGGCTCACACTTGTAATCTCAGAAATTTGGGAGGCTGAGACGGGTGGATCACCTGAGGTCAGGAGTTCGAGATCAGCCTGGCCAATATGGTGAAACCCCGTCTCTACTAAAAATACAAAAAATTAGCCGGGTGTGATGGCACATGCATGGAGTACCAGCTACTCACTACACGGGAGGCCGAGGCAGGAAAATGGCGTGAACCCGGGAGGTGGAGCTCGCAGTGAGCCAAGATCACGCCACTAAACTCCAGCCTGGGCAACAGAGTGAGTCTCTGTCTCATAAAAACAGAAAGAAAGTCGGCATCAATGGGATTTTATAAATTATATAATTTTGTGATTATTATTGTGGTTTGCTACTGAACTGTGTTCATGGCCACGTAAGCACTAGAATCTGATTACCCTATGAATAATTTATTACTTGTTTTGGTAGACTGTAATCAGTTTGTGGTTATTAAGTAAGTGCATAAGCAAATTTGCAAACACTGAATATAGAAGAAATGTATGTAGAGGCTTCATACAGCATAGTTTACCCTTGCTTCTGAATTCAGAAAACTTTGCTTTGAGTTTAGACCATATTATTTACTGAATGAGCGTTTCTTTTTTGCCACATGATTAAAAAAAATTAAAAACTTAATTTTTTTCTTCCTACTGTGGTTGTGATAACATGTAAAATAAATTTTAAAACAACGAAGCCCTATTTATATTTATGCCTTAAATATTGCTTATAACATTGTTTATAAAAATTAAAATAAAACATGGTACATTTATAACCAAGATTTTCTTATGTACAAAAAAGATAAATTTATACTATAAAATATTTAAATATAAGAAAAAGCTCATATTTTATTACTGGATTTAATTTACAATTTTGGGAGTTAAATATGGAAAGGTTTTAATATAGTAAGATATTTAATATGTTAAAACATTTTCAAAAAACAAAATTCTACTGATAGGCTTTTTGGGGAAAGGTTTTTTTGGAGACAATCGGCTATTGAAAGGTCAAATATAATTTGGCATTCATGTGTGCTGGGTAATTAAAACAACTTCATAAGCAGGTTGTACATAATTATATTGCATGAATATTTTAAGTTTTTAAATATATATTTCTAGTAGAATGTGGTTTTGATTGATTTAATTCTCACAGTATTGTGGGTGTATGAGTCTAGTTGGAAATATTCTTTGGCCTGCTCATATAGCAGCAGATGCACTATTTGCATAAGTAGGATGTTATATGTGGGCTTGTATTTTTGGCTGCCTCTAGATTTATGACACCAATTCATTTTTTTTTTTTTGCACAGATGGAAGAAAGACTGGCAATATGAAAAGAGGAGTTAATCGATTTCTTTTTTAAAAATTGTTACAATTACTCTGATTTAAATCTGCATATATGTGAATCTGATTACTTCATTCATAAACATGTATGAAGCAGTAAATTTTCAGTCACATTATGATTGTGCATTATAAAGTTAGCAATTAAACTAGAGGCTGATGCAGGCACATTAATTGTGTTAAAAAATACATTCATTTAATTATGGAGAAAAAAAGTCATTTATAACACTAAACTGAAAAAATAAATGGCTTATTTTTTTCAGAAAAAAATACTATTTTCTTACACAGAATAGTAAATTGCTAAATACATGGCCATTTTTATGCAGAAATATATAAATTATACCATACTATAAAATATTGCTATTATATTCTTTAGAAATCTCATGTTATTTTAAAATTTTCTTCACTTAGCATAATATGTTTAGAATCCTTAGTAATAGCACACCGGCTTTCCTGTGTTTTTTCTCTGGTTTTCATACTGTATTTTTCTACTTGACATGAAACAGATACTAATTTAAATAATTTAATTTGAAGTCAGCATAATGTAAAGCATCACACTTTATAATTTTAATATTTTTTAAAATGGTAATTTTTTTGGTATAAAGATAAATGGGATATTTGTTTGAAAAAAATTATAGTTTTAAATAAAGTATGCGAATTCTTCTTATTAATATTTATCTGAAAATGAAATGGTGCTCACCACTGTGGGGAAGGCTAAGAGTGAGAAAAATGGGAGTACCTGGCCAAAGGATACAAAATAGCAGATATGTAGAAAGAACAAGGGTAGATAACTAATATATAAGATGAGCACTGATGTTAATAAAATTATATGGTACTTTTTTTTTTGGATAAGTAGATTTAAGACACTCTGGTCACCAAAAAAGAAACTATGAGATGATAGATGTTAATCTGCTTCAGTATAATAACCATTTTACAATCAATATGTATCCCATAACATCATGTTGTAAAACTCAAATTTACACAATAAAATTTATTTTAATAATTGAAAATTTAAAAATTGAAAAACGGAGACAATTCTGATAGCTAAATGAGTAATGAATTTAATGAATTAAGACTGGAAGCAGGGATACCAGATAGAAACTGTTGCTATGCATTAGGAGAAATGTTATAAAGTTTTGAATAAGTCAAGTAATAATAGAAGGAGGAAAAAAATTGATAATGTGAGAAATAGTTACGTGTATATTAAAATTATTTTGTAATTCATTTTTTCAAAAATTAAAATATCACTTTCTAATTTCACTTGACATTTCAAAATATATTATCAACAAAGAAAAGTAATGATAATTTTGAAAAAGAAATAGTTAAACTATTAGAAACAGATACGTAGGTATAGATATATTAGATTGATAGATGTCTAGCTAGATATTGATACACTCACAGAGCACTGAAAAATAAAAAATAAAAATGGTAGAATCGCGTTATAAAATTGGCCACGTTCGGGGTTGAGAAGAATATTTAATTCATATTTATTGATTACTGAAGTCAAAATACAATTTCTTTTTTTGTTTTAGAATATAAAATGTCTAAAGCACGTCTAAATTAATTCTAAAATGTAAGTATCTGCTTAGGGAGAGGATGACTGAACTGCTGTATCCCAAATTAGAAATGTCACTGAGCGCTTTACCTTTGTATAAGAAACAAAAGTTTATTTGTAATAAAAATTTGGGGAGTTCATGGTCTTGGAATAACATCTCAAGTGTAAAAATGTATAAAATATTTTTACATAACAATTCTCCAGAATAATTTTCTGAAGAAGGTCCTTATCTGTTTTAATTGCATGATAGGAAAACACAATAGAGATAATATCAAGGACTAATGATAAAAATGTAAATGTTAAATTCTAAACCATTAAGGATTTGAGATGTTAGCTCACAACTTACATTGTTTCTTCACTCTCCAATTGCTAGAATTATTACCCCAGAAAATAAGCAAGTGTTTCCAGGAAGAGAAGAAGAAAGCTTTCCATTTCCAAATTATTCTTGGGGCCTCTATCTAAAAGGAGAGACTAAGTTTTCAAGGTGTCTGTAATACAAATATTCTTGCAATTCCTTTTGCTCAGCAGGCCCAGACCATGCAGGAACATAAGAAATCCAGGAAGAATTTCAGCCTAACACTAAACAGAGTCCAATGTTTAATTTACCTAATAATTATTACAACATTACAAATATTTGAAAAAATATTATAATGAAGACATAAATTAATTTCTTTGCTTCATTTAATTTCAATAGTTTGCTTATTTGATTTATATATTTTATTCACTGTGGTAAGCAGAATAATGGTTGCCCAAAGATGTCCACATCCTAATCCAGGAGACCTGTGAATATGATAACTTACATGGCAGACAAAAAGGATCCCAAAATATGATTAAGTTAAATATCTTGAAATGAGATTACCCTGGATAATCTGAGTGGGCTCAATGTAATCACAAGAATCCTCATAAGAGAAGGGTCAGAGTTGGAGAGAGATGAGAAGATGATAAACTTCTGGCTTTAAAGATGAAGGAAGATGCCCTGTGGCAAGAAATAGTGGCTTCCAGAAGCTGAAGACTAGAGAATTGATTCTCCCTAGAGCATCCAGAAGGAATACGTCTGGACACGTTGAAGCCTAGCAAAAGCCATTTAAAATGCCTGGCTTCCAGAAATTTAAAATAATAATAAATTTGTGTTATATTAAGCAACTAACTTGGTTGAAATTTGTTACAGCAGATAGGAAACTAATATAAAATAAACTAATATATTCATTGAGGAAAAAAATCAGAGTTGAAGAACTGTATGTGTCCTTATTGAAAATGTTTTCCTTATATTTTATTTAGCTATTATGTTAACATTTTCTCATATTGTTTGAAAATAACTCATATATATTTGATCTTTATTTTCTTTTAAAAGCTTGTGCTCAAAACTCTTAAGTTTTTACAAAGTACTGTATAGGATTTTTAATATTATTCTGTTCTAAATACCATATAATTAATATTTAATGTCTTTGTAGACTATAAATTGTGTGAAGGTATATCTCAATGAATTTCACATATGAATAAAGCCCATAACCAGCACTTAGAAAGAGAATAATGTATAAATGGCACAATAAGTACCCTTTTTTGCCCCCTCTGACAATTTTTTCCTCTATTAGATTCATAAAAAACTTACTCTTTTATGTCTGGCTTCTTTCTTTTAACATTTTTTTTGTGTGAGTTTGACCTATGTTGCTGCATATAGCAATAATTTGCTCATTTTTATTGCTGTATAATATTGAATTATATGCATATACCAGAGTGCATTTATCCATTTTAGATCATTAGATACTTAATTTTTTGTACATTGGAATACTTCTGCTATGAATACCTTGTTATGACTTTTTATGCTAATAGCTGTACATTTCTATTACATATAAAATGAAAATAATTTTGTATCATATAGTGTGGACATTTTCATCTTTGATTGTTACTGACAAATAGTTTTCTAAAGTGTTTGTGTCATTTACTTTACCAACCATTATGTATGAGAATTCCAAATGCCCCATATTCTCTCCAATACGAGGTATTATTCATCTTTTTTCACTTTGACCATTCTAGTTGGTTATAACAGTATTTTATTTTTGTCCTAATTTGCATTCCACAATAAGGAATACATTTTCACACGCTTATTTGCCATTTGAGTACACTCATGTGGGATGTACCTATCAGCTTCTCCTCATTTTTCTATTGAGTCATATATCTTTTTCTTATTAATTTTTGAAAGGTATTTATATAGCCTGTTTACATTTCCTTCTCACACTCGGTGGCTTGCCTGTTTATTCTCTTTATTTTTTCTTTTGATTAACAGAATTGTAATGTACTATAATTTATCAATGTTTTTCATTTATTGTTAGTGCTTCCTGTTGTACCATTTACTAAGTCTTTTCTTACTGAAAGGTTGTGAAAATATTTTCTTATGTTTACTTCTAAATGCACACTTCTAAATACAATAGTGTTTTAACTTTCCCATTTATGTCTACAAAACATCAAAAATTAATTTTGTGTATGTTGTATAGAAGGATAACTAATTTAATTTGTTTAAATTTAAAACAAGTTTAGATTTATAGAATTATGGTGAAGTGACTACAGAGAGCTCTGGTATAGTTTACTCCAGTGTTATTAACATCTACTAACACATCCCTATTATTAACATCTTAAAATAGATAGATCCATTTGTCACAATTTACAAACCACTATTGATACATTATTATTAACAAAAAGTCTATATATTTTGTTTGTTTGTTTGTTTGCGGTGGAGTCTCGCACTATCACTGGAGCTGGAGTGCAATGGCATGATCTCGGCTCACTGCAACCTCTGTGAACCTTGGGTTCATGTGATTCTCCTGCCTCAGCCTCCTGAGTAGCTGAGGTTACAGGTGCACATGACCACACCTGGCTAATTTTCTGTATTTTTAGTAGAGACGAGGTTTCACTATGTTGGCCAGACTGATCTCGAACTTCTGACCTCATGATCCACCCACCTAGGCCTCCCAAAGTGCTGGTGTGAGCCACCACTCCGGCCCCGAAAGTCTATATTTTATTCACATTTTCCACTTTTATTTAATGCACTTTTTATGTGAGATCTCACCAGGATATCACCTTACATTTAGTAGTCATGCCTCCTTAGGCTTTTTGTGGTTGTCATAACCTCTTAGACTTTTCTTATTTTTGATTACCCTGACAGTTTTGAGAATTACTGATCAGATATTTTCTAATACATACCTCAAGTGACATTTGTCTGATATTTTTCTGATAATTAGACTGGAAAAATATGTTTTGAGGAGGAGGACAAACGAAGTAAAGTGCCATTCTCATTACATCATATCAGGGTTACACACTATCAATATGACTAATAATTATTCATGTTAATGTTGATTATCTGAGTTAAAGTAGTGTTTGTAAATTTCTCTGCTATAATTCTACTCTTTCTTTCTCTTTCTGTAGTGTATCTTTTAGAAAGAAGCCTTTATGTGCAGCCCACACTTAAAAAGTAGAAAGTTATGCTTTTTCTACTAATCGCAGATTGATTATTGGAATTCTTCTGCATAATAGTCTGATCTCCCCCATTTATTTATGTATTCATTCATTTATTTATATCATGATACACTCAAATATATTTATTTTATTTTATGGCTATAATTGAATGTATAATTTTCTTGCTGTTTAAATTGTTCCAACTTTGCTCATTTGGAATGCATTTGTTAGGTCCCTGTATTCTTTTGACATACTGAGATCCTCATGTGTGTGTGGGTGTGTATGATGTTTCTTTCTTTTTTTTTTTCCTTTCCTGAGCCTAATTTCGGGCATACAAGATGCTCCAATCTCATCTTGCCTATTTCCAATCCAGTGCTAGATTCAGCTTTTCTCCAAGGTGTACAGATTCCTTTAATTGAATAATGTTATTAGAAACCAAGAACTGGCAACTAAGTGTGTTTGTTGCTATTTGGGTAATGTTCCTTCTAGACCTCAGCTACCAGAGCAAAAGCATACACATACACACACACACACACACACACACACACACACGTATGTATGTGCAAACCTGCGTATATACAAACATCTATAAATATTTCTATATGTAACTATGTGTATATTAAATTAAACATGAATTTATAATGATGTATCTAATCTATTACCACATAGATTATCATTCTAGTCACTGCCCATTGATTATTTGTAACTTCCCATTCTAAATGTAAAAAACATGGCTTCCAACATCTGCCATCCATTTGCTAAACTGACCAATGCCTCTATATATGTAGAATGTTTGTAAAATTGTTGACCTGTACCCTTATAGGGAATAGTTTTATCAACTAGCATACAGTGCTTATCTAAAGCTCCCATTGCCTTTAGTCTTATACATTCTATTCACTTTCAAAGCTACTAACATCAACACCTTATCCCTCATTCTATTAATTTCATACAGTTATATTACATTTAGTTTCTCTGGACAAATTTTGAATTCCATTTCGGTTCCACCGACTACTTAATTTTTTTTAATTGCATATATTAAAGTGTACTCATTGTGCTGTAAAATTTTATGTGTTTTGAAAAATACTTAATGCTTTTAATTTACCATTACGTATCAAACACAATAATTACATTATCCTAAAGATTCCCTGTGTTTCAGTTATTTAACTGCCTCCCACTCCAACCCTTAAACACTGGCAACTCTCAATCTGTTTACCATCTCTATAATTTTGTTTTTTCATGAAAGTCATATTAGTATCATGTAGCATGTAGTTTTTCTTTAGACTGGCTTCTTTCATGTAGTAATATAAAGAATAATAAAATAATGTTTGTAAGCAATTGTCGATGTTCATAGGATTAGCATTAGTAGTTATAAATTTCTGTCGGCAGAAGTGTGTCATACTTAAATATCTAGTTTTTCTAAACAGTTTTTGTGGAATATAAGTAGAAGTAAAACTTGAACCATATCATGTCTGAACACTGTTCTTGATAAAAGGTTACTAATGGCTGAAAAAACCTAAATGAGAACTTTAAAATGTGATGCAATTTTTATCAGCACACATTTAATTTTAAGATCTATTTGGAACCCTACCCAAACCATCTGGGGAGAAATTCCTTCAGGGAAAATAAAAAAACACTGCATCATGATTCTATTTGCTACCATTAGCAGACATTGCAGACTTGTTAATAGCATCTGTCTTCAACATTTTCTGGCCATATGTTCATGCAGATGAAACATTAACACTCATTGATTGTACAATTCCATTAATCCCTGTCATTCTTCTCACAAATAAAATAATTTCCAATTAGGTATCCTTTCAAGTACTATGATTCCTCTATTGATTAAATTTTTATCTCACTGACTTTTCAATCCTGAATTTGCTATCTCCATCTGAATATCTATTGTTCTCTGAAGCCCCATTCTATGGTGAACACAGAAAATTATTCTGTATCCTCATGCTCTTTCCAGAATCTATGCAAAATCTCCTTGCCTTAGCAGACATTTTTCTCCTTCTCAAAAACATCCATTTGTGGTAATGTTATTTTTCTCCGAACTCCCCTTGGCCTTTGTTTAAATTCCCATGTCATCTGTATACAGCATTACAACCTTCACCCTCGCTTTTCCTCTTAGTCACTCTGTATTTTATTGAGTTTTAAAATTCTGGTCTCAATGTCTTTCTATCTATTTCAATCTCTTTATCTGTTTTTCTGTCTCTCTCTCCCAACACACGCACATACACACATACACATAAAATAAAAAGCCATAATTTTTATATGGGTAAATAACACTTTTAAAACTCAACATTATTTTCTCAAAAAAAGACTTTTTTTCATAGTAAATGTCTTTGCTATAGTCTTATAATGTTCTTTAAAGTGACCTTTTGGAACTACATTTTCTTTAGCATGTAAGTTTAGTGACTCAAAATGGAAATCTTGAGAGGTAATTCAAGAATATTCATTCATTTACTTATTCATGAGTTCATTCATTTAAAAATCATTTTATGAGTGATTACATTATTCCAGGTAGTTTCTGAGAATTAAAGAAAAAAAAAGACACTGACTTTATTTGAATAAATTTAATCCAGTAGAGAAATAGACATGCAAATGAAGAATTAAAATGTAATGTGCTTTTTGATGTACTGAATATATGAATGTAGTGTAATTAGTGCTCAGGGAAGGATTTTCCAATTCACTCTACAACTTTGAAACACAGAGAATAACTTGTAAAAAAAAGACACTATTATATAACTGTATTTTCACCCACAAAGACCATATACCTGTGGAAATATACCCATGGAAATGACAAGGATGATGATGATAATCATAGATTATCATTGTACTAAACATGATGGGAATACATAAAGAAGTCTAGACAATAACTAATTTAATTTTTATTTAATGTATCTATTAAATTCACTTCTTTTGTATGAAGAGCTGCTGTTTAAAATAAAATACAGTATTAAAGTCATTTTCTAACAATTAACACTCACTGATTCTGCATCTTATATATAAATCTGAGGATGAATGTTTTTTTACCTTTAAGGTCTCAGAGAATACTTGTTAAATCATACACAGAAACAAAATAAATCAATGTGTTAAAGATTACAACTTGAGTTTATTAAGCAATGTGTTTAATACACCGTGTTTTAACAATTTGTTAAGGGTTAAAAACGAGGTAAATTAAAGCATGGTTGTGGAAGCTGATTATGAGAAAGGAATGACAAATGATCTTGGCCTGGAGAGGTGAGTAGGAGTTTGCAAGAAAAATGAGGGATTGGAGGTTACTGTAAAAGTTAAAAGAATGTTTTCTAAGCTACGTAATTATAGAAGGGTATTGCAATTTTGGGTAATGGTGAGAAATTCTCTGTAGAATTTTGTGTGAGGAGTAAAAAAAAAAAAATTGAGGTTGAGGTATAAGTTAGAGTCAAATTTTCAATGGGTATAATATATCCAATTTTTAGGAAGATCACTGTTTCTGTCCCCAAAAAGAAATGCAGTGGAATCTATTAGGTATTTATATTATGTAACCGGGTATACTTTTAAACATATATGTACATATATATATATATATATATATATATATATACACACACACACACACACATATATGTATATATAGAAATTGTTTGTAAGTTTAATTTTTTATCTTTATTTCCTAGAAACTGGTCAAATGTACTGGGTTTTAGATACATTTACCATTTCTCAACCTTTCTAACTATTTCTGTGAGTGTGAGTGCGTGTGTGTGTGTGCGTGCCTATGTGTCTTCATTTCTCTCTCTTTCTCACTTTCTCTCTTACTGACAGAAGTGATGAATTGATATAGAGCACCATAAATATTTTAGATTTTCACTGTGAGTAAGGAAGACTGTATAAAGTAAATACATGCGATATTTACACAGACAGTAGGTCGTACTTGTTAAATAATTTCACAAAGAGTTATCCTCTGAAAACATACATATGGCTTTCAGTTTTCAGTCCAGCATGTAAGAAGCATGGAAGTCATCATTCTGTCCAAAAAGTAAAAAACTGAAGACATTGATAAATTAATGAGTTTTCTTAGACCATAAGAGCAGTGAGGTGACAGGTCAAACAGCTGTCCTCTAAATTGGAGACAGCAAGAGGTGAATACAGATAATCACAACATACCAGAGCAGCAATGTCCAAAGAACCCCGTGCCTATGTGGAAAAACATGAACTATGATTTATGAATTGTTGTAGGTTCAGTGTGGACAACTCTGAGACTTAAAAACTCCAGGGAGACAGTCATAGGTGGTTCCTCACACTCTTGGGATTTTTGCCTCTCAATCTCTACCAGGTTTTTACAGTGAATATCACACACACACACAAAACCTGGACAGAACATATATTACTTATGTGTTTATATATTTGGATACAAAAGAATGATCAATATAAATAATTTACATAAAGTTATTGATATGGTTTGGCCGTGTCCCCAACCAAATCTCAACTTGAATTGTATCTGCCAATTCAATCTTTTCAAAAGTTTAGAAACAAAATGTTTCATGTAAAGTGGCAAAGTTCCTCTGTTACGCCTTTCACTGTTTAATATATGGAAATGCATATGCTCTTTACATGAATTTTTTTAGCTACAAGTGTCTGTCTTACTCATCAAATGATAGCTCATATTTGTATAAGTAATACATTTTTGAAACATATTTTGATAATTAAAGAATATTATAAACCATGTCTAGGTAGGTAAAAGTTCATGAACTATAGTTTGTGTTAAGCACTCCAAATAACTAATTTTTAAATGAATGTATTTCTTAATTTCTTATTTGTTATTGTTAATTGTTAATAATTTTTTCTCATCTTTTTTCTTCTTAAATTGTGTTTTTGCTGTTATTGTTTCAGAAACATTATAAAAAATTACAGCATGGTTTTTTCATTATTTAAACCCTCTGCGTGTGATTGAAAACAAAAATCTTTCAGACAGTTTCAAACTCTAGAAGAATTTTTTGTGTCATTTCTTGTATACAGTAGACCTAAGGTGGTGTGTATGCAGTAGATTTTTAACTGAACTTGTTTTATACTGATATAAATTTTGAAGATGTTATACAAAATATATCACAATTTGAATTTAACTAGATTTAAATGCCTAACTTTAAGAGATTAAAAAATCTTAAGTGCTTCTTTTTCAAAGGACACCATATGCAAATAAAATTTTGTATGTGGAAAACACTTTTAACAAGTAACACTATAACCTATATTTACCAGTTTTTTTTTCATTTGCATTATGGAAATTATGTTGAGTGAGTAAGAAACTGTTACTATGCTCCAAGGAAATGTCTCAGCAACCAATTTAAAATGAGTTATTTGAAAAGAGAATAGAACAATTTTGTAATGCATATCTTACTTTCATTGTGGCAGAAATTATCGAGCTATTGAGTGAATACCTCTCTCTTTTCTTAAGGGAACTAGCTCTATCTTTCTTGCTGTTAAATGTACACATATGAGTGAATTCCACATCCAGACAATGGAATGCAGGTAGAAGTAATATGCTACACTTGAAGTCATTGCCTATAAAAACCCCTTTTGCAATTTTGTACTCTATCTTTCTCTTCTTTTCCAGGTAGAAATAGATATGAAATCCACAAAGTGAAGATGGTAAAGCTTCCATAGTACTGTTTTCTTGAATAACTACCTGAAGCAGAAATTCTCTAGCATGCTCATTGGTCTTTATGTAAATCAGAAATGAACTTTAATTATAGTAAGTATTCAAGAAAGTAGAGTTGTACAGTGAATGTTTCAGGGAATTCTCTCCAAATTGTCTGGAAAAAAAATACACATGCATAAAAAGTAAGAGTTTTATTCCTGGTAGCTTTCCTGAACTCAATTTCCTAGAGAACCAAAGGGAGGGGATATAAAATGGAGGGGCCACAGAACGTCCCAGCTTCTTTCCAGCAATTAGTCACCAGCAACTTTGTAAATAGCTAGAACCAAGTAAATAATTTATTCTTTACTAGCAAGGCCACTCCCAAACTTACCATATATATATATATGGAACAGCCAAGAATGGGATGCTTTACCAAAGACAAAGTTTCATAGGAAATTCACCTGAGTCATGACCCAAGCATATCTTTCTGCAGAATCCGTATAGAAGGGTGCATATATTCGCACTTTGACTCTTCTATCCATGAGTATCAGCCTTAAATAAATGATGTTCTGGGGTTTAAACAAAATAATTTATTAACATTATGTGCTACTGATTTCAGCTTTTATAATTCTAATAGCATTATCTTTAGCAAAACATTATAATTAGAGAATTATAATTAGAAGAAATTTTTCTATCTTGTAGTCATTACAGTTTACTTAATTTATTGCTTATACTTATTCTTTTCTTTTTGTTACCCATTTCTTATTATATTTATAAATAATTTGCATACTACTATTGTATTTCTATGCCTTGATTTTACATGCGATTTTAGGGAAAAAAATTTACTTGAAAATGTCAGACATCCTAAGAATAAAAAAAATAAAAAGCAGATGCATATAATAATATATTTTATTTGCATACAACATTCATTAGCTCTAACGCATTAATAGGCTTTAAGTAGATCATTTACATATGAAAACAAGAAATAAAAAATATAAAGGACAAAAAGAAGTTTTAAACTAAATAAGAAGGAAAGCATAGTAAATAAAATATGTTGATTAAGATTATTTTGTGAAGAACATAAGAAAGACAGCAGAATAAGAAGTCTCAGGCTTTACCCCTCACAGAAAAACTGATTTAAAAATAATATACAAACCAAAATACCCTTTTAAGAAGTCCAGAATTTTGTTAAGAAGTTGCAGTAGCCTGGACAACCACAAAATTAATAACAGCTACATTGAAATTGGTAAGAAGAGAAATTTCGCTTTACCTGCATCAGCATTTCCCCAAAGCTGGCAAAACTCAGCTTCCAGTGAAATCATCTTGTCTTGTAACATCTCCCTGAAGGAAAAAGAGAGAGGGAAGTATGCATCTAATGTATCCAGGCTTTTCATAGTCTGCCCGAGGGAGGGACTGGCTTCTGTCTTGCCTCATCTGGAGTGCTGATGGAATTGGCATAGTTTGGATGTCCCAATAACAGCTAAGGAGAGAGGAAAGGAGTGGGTGGCTTACTGCATCCAACATGGCTGTGCAAGAAAGCGGAGAAGGTGCAGAACCTGAGGCTTCTCGACAAGGAAGAAAGAAGAGGAGTGAAATATGCCTTCAACATTCTGGCCATTTGGTGTGTTATCCAAGGAACTAGTTTCTCTCTCACCTCACCCTTAGTACTGATGGAACAGGCATAGTTTGGATGCCTGGAGACAGCTAGGAACAAAGAAAACAGGCAGGCATCTTGCTGCATTAGACACAACTCTGCAAGACTGGATGAAGGCATGTAACTTAAGGCTTCTCCACAGGGAGGGAAGAAGAGGAGCACAGTATGCCTCCAATGTCTCAGACAGCAGTACTTTGGTCAGACATTAGAGGGAATAAGAGATTAGAGGTTTTAGAAGAAAAGGAGGAAGAAAAGAAGGAAGAGAAGGAGGAAAAGGAGGAGGAGGAGGAGGAGAACCAAAAACAACTAGAAAATCTCTCATTATAAATCCACGTGCACAAATCCAGACAAGACCTATCTATAAAAAGGGTTCTAGAGATTCCCAGAATCCCTAGCAAAGCTGAACGGTAAACATCTTTCCCTGTCAGTAAAGACTGTGAGAAGTGGCTTTCTATTTCAAATGCACAGAAATTGACACAAAGATACAAGGAACATGAAAAATAAGAAAATATAATACAATCAAAGGAACAAAATAAATCTCCAATAACCAATCTAAAGAAATGGATACTCATGAATTAATTGACAAAGAATTCAAAACAATCATCTTAGTGAATCTCAGTGAGTAACAAGATAACACAGATAAGCAACTAAATGAAATAAGAAAACACTTAAACAAAATGAAAATATTGATAAGGAGACAAAAAAACTGTAAAAGAGGAACAAACCAATTTGGGAGCTAAAAATACAACAAACAAACTAAAATATTAACCAGAGGGGTTCAACAACAGACTTAATCAAAGAGAAGAAAGAATTAGTGAAGTCTAAGAAAGGTCATTTGAAATTATCCATCAGAGGAATAAAAATAAAATAAAATAAAGTAACAAAGAGTAACAAAAGCTTAAAAGATTTATGGGAAACCACAAAGAAGCCAATTCATGCATTATGGAAGTATCAGGAAAAGAAGATAAATTGGTTTTGGCAATGAATTTTTTTTCTATTTTGACACCAAAGCACAAGCAACAAAAGCAAAAACAAACAAGTGGGAGTTTTTTGAACCAAAAAGCTTCTGCATAGTCAAGAAAATAATAAACATAGTGAAGAGGCAACCTACAGAATGGGAGAAAATATAATAGTTCCAAACCATATATCTGATAAGGGGTAAATAGTTCCAAACCATATATCTGATAAGGTGTAAATATCTAAAATATATTGGGAATTTATACAACTCAATAGCAAAAACAAACAAACAAAAAAAACAAAAAAAAAATCTTTTTAAAAAATGGATAAATGATGTGAATAGGCATTTTTCAAATGAAGATATACAAATAGCCAATAGGTATATAAAAATATGCTCAGCATCAGTAATGATCAGAGAAATGCAAATAAAACCCACAATGAGATATTATCTTACACTTTTTAGGATGGCTATTATCAAAAAGAAAAAAAAAGGAAGGTATTGGCAAAGATGTAAGAATTTGGAACTCTTGTATAGTGTAGGTGGGAATGTAAAATGGTGTAGCCACTGTGAAAAACAATATGGAGAGTCCTCAAAAAATTGAAAATAGAACTATCATATGATCCAGCAATCTCACATGTGAGTATATACTCAGTATGTATAAAAGAATTAAAATGAGGATCTTGAAAAGATATATACACTCCCATGTTCATTTCGGCATTATGCACAATAGCCAAGATGTGGAAAAACCTAAATGTCAATTGATGGATTACTGAGTATATAAAATGTGGTATATACAAACAAGGGAATATTATTTATCCTTTAGAAAGAAGGAAATCCTGTCATACATGAGAAAATGGGTGAACCTGCAGGACATCACGCTAAGTGAAATAAGCTAGTTAGAGAAAGATAAACACCACATGATCTCAGTTATATGAGATATACAAAATAGTCTAATTCACAGAAATAGAGAGTAGGATAGTAGTTACCAGGAGCAGGTGGGGCAGGAGGGGAAATGGAGAGTGGTTCAATGGGTATACTTTCAGTTATGCCTAGGGTTAACAATACTGTATTGTGTACTTAAAAATTATAGAGGGCAGCTCTCATGTTAAGTATTCCTACTACAGTAAAAAGAAATTACACAGAATTATTTGCATATTGAATTTGTAGAACTATTGTTTCTTTCAACAACAAAAAATTACCTCTCCCAGTTCTACTGAAATGTCAAATCTTTACAGTCTGTTAGTCTCAAGTTTCTATTTTGGAAAGAACTCTATGTTAAAAATATGTCTCTAAAAATGTTATTCTACTCTAAGAAAATAAGGCATGATGTGAAATAAAAACTGGTTCTTGCCATTATTATCAAGAGACAATAAAGAGTGATAATAACTAGGCAATCAGAAGGATGCATGCCCCACCTGGAACCTTTTGTATTTAGGTGGGCTTGCTATTTTAACACTTGTTTTTAACAGCAGTGATCTGAATTTTTTCATGACATTTGACTTTTAAATATTGGCTTAAAAAATCAGACCAATTATAATATTAAAAATATTTTTCCATAATTTCCATGATTAAGGTTCAAAGAAATTCAGTGGAGAGATGTCTTTTCAACAGGTGACGCTCAACCAATTTGATATCTATGTTCAAAAGAACGAGATCATATCCTTTGCAGGAACATGGGTGGAACTGGAGGCCATTATCCTTAGCAAACTAATTCAGGAACAGAAAAGCAAATACTGAATGTTCTCACTTATAAGTGGGACCTAAATAATGAGAACACATAGACAGAAAGTGGAGAGCAACAGAAACTGGGGCCTACTTGAGGGTGGAGAGTGGGAGGAGGGAGAGCTTCAGGAAAAAAACAAAAACAAAACTACTGGGTACTATGCTTAGTACCTGGGAGATTAAGCAAACTGTACACCAAACACCCAAGTCATGAGTTTATCTATAAAACAAACCTGCATGTATACCCCTGAACCTAAAATAAAAGTTAAAATATTAAATAATAATACCCATATTCATTAGCATATCAGAGACTAACATCTTTTGCACATTTAAAGGTTAAAGACCGATGCTTTCAACCTCACACTAGGAAAAGGCAAAGTTTTTTTTTCTTACTATTTCTATTCAACATTGCACTTGAGGTTTTATTCAGTAGAATAAGATAAGAAAAAAAACAAAATAATTTAGTTTAAACAAGGAGAAATAAAAGCATCTTTAGTCATGCAAGTCATCTACATAACTTTTTTTGGAATCTACAAAAAGATACTAGAAATAATAAGAAGGTTTTTAAGGTAGTAGGATACAAGATCAGTATACACAGTAAATTTTATTTTATGTCAATGTACAATTGAAATTTTTTAAAAGGTACCATTTTAAAGCATTATAATATACAAAAATTTTGGTATAAATATGACAAAACATGTACAAGACCCATACTTTGAAAATTATGATACACTGTTTTAAAAAATTAACGAAGGCTTAAATAAGTGGAACAATATCACCACAAGTTGATCTATCAATGCAATACCTACCAATCAAAGTCCCAGCATGCATTTTTATAGAAATTCACAAGTTTGTTCTAAAATTTATATGGAAAAGGAAGTCACCTAGAATATTTTTTTGCCAAATATTTGTTCCAAAGAACAATTTTGAAAACAAAAAACGGAGTGAAATGAGTCCCGTTACCTGACCTCAAGAATTATAATAAAATTTCAGTAAACAAGACAGTTTGGTATTGGCAACAATAAAGTAAAAAATCAATCAGTCAGTGGAACAGCCTTGATAGTTCAGAAGTAGACCCATACATATAAGGTTAATTGATTGTTGGCAAAGATTCAAAAATAATTCACTGGACAAAATAAATCTTTTTAACAAATGATGCTGGACCAATTTAATGCTCATATTAAAAATAGTGAACTTTGACCAATAACACATAATATTAAAAATTAACCCAAAATGAATTATAGAACTAAATTTAAAAATCAAAATAATTAAGCATCTAGAAAAAAAGAATGAAATTATTGTGACCTTGTGTTAGACAAAATTTTCTTAGATATAATACTACATAAATAATTCATACAGTGTATGTTAACAAATTTCACTTTGTCAAAATTAAGAACTCTTGTTTTTCAGAAATCACTTGTAAGAGAATGAACAGAGAAACAATACACTTGGAGAAAATAACTGCAAATTACAAAACCTTTAAAAAGGCTTTATTATCTACAAACAACTTTCAAAACTCTGTTTAAAAAAAAAAAAAAAAAAAAAAAAAAACAAGTTAGACCACCCCATCAATGAAGTATAGTTGGCATACAGGCCCTTGAAAGCATACTTGAAATCATTTGTCTTCAGAGAAATTACAATAAACCTTTCAATTACATAATGTTACACACCCATAAGTATGTCTAAAAGTCAAAAGAAAGAACATAGTTTTGGTGAAGATATGAAATAACTGAAACTGTCATACAGTGATGGTGAAATTGTAAACTAGTACAACTATTTTAGGAAATTGCAATTTCTTTAAAAGTTAAACATACACCAACCATACAACCCAGACATTCTACTCTTAGCTATTTACCTACAAGAAAGGAAAGCATTATTTAGTAGAAAAACTTTTACATGAATATTCATACAGCAGTTTCATTTGTAATGGCCAAATCCTGTATACCATGCAAATGTCCATCAAGAGGTTAGTGAATGAATACATTGTGTTATACCCACACAATGGAATACTCTTCAGCCATAAAAAGTATGAATTAAAGGTACAAAATAAAATATGCAATATTAAGTATTGCACATTCTTAAGTATTGTGTTTTTTAACTTATGCAAACCAATCAAAACATATTTTTTATTTTGTAGGATAGCTTAATGAATTTTTAATATTCTGCAGAAATAGGAAAATATTTCACACTCTTAATAAAAAGTAAAATTTTCTCAATTACAGACACATGAAACACAGAGAGAACTTGCAACTTCAGTTCTATAGCTTCAGCTTCATGTCAAAAGAAAATTCTCATCAGTAGGCGATATATGACTGTATATATATATATATATATATATATACACACATATATATACACACACACACACACATATGATTAAAACAAATACAAAAAATGGTTATTCATAAATTGAACTTTGTCTTAAATTTTAAAATCAAATTTTTACATTTATAATTAATTATTTTTCTCCTTTTTCACTAATTAACAAGGCAGAAAAAAACGGTTATGTGATGACATCTATGTATGCTTTTAAAGTATATTAAATTCTATTTAAATATGTTTCTAAAAACATGTCTTAATATCATCTATTTTAGAATGATATAGCTCTAATACTGAAATGATTTCTATGAATGTGTCTTTAATGTATAAGAAAAAAGATAAAATTACTTTTGTATGGACCAAAGAAAAATTTTCCCTTCTCACCTTCAAGGTTCACTAAAAATCACTGACAAGAGGAAATTAATAGGAAAAAATACATAAAAATGTATTTGATCATAGTTTTATATAACACAGGAGGCTTCAGAATACAGACTCAAAGGTAGAGGGAATATTGCCCATTTTTATGCTTAGGTATGCACAGCCATGTAGAAAAACTATTGGGCAAAAAACATGATCTAATGCTAATAGACTGAGTGGGTAAACCCAGCACAACCTGTGTGTCTAGAGTCTCTTGGCCTCTCTTGAGCATGAATTCCTTCCTTCTGGGTATGGACAGTACCCTCTCTGGAATGGGAGTCTTATGACAAACAATCAAACAAGGTAGGCCAGATAATTTCTTTAAAGCCAGTTTTTACACAAACAAGGTAGAGGAAAAGTTAGCATATTATTTGGGGGTTTGATGGTTGGCTCTGGGGACAAGGGGTTCTGAATACAGAGTTAAGGGGCACCAGAAAAATGACAAGTAAATACAATCTTAAAGAAGACAGAAATATATCTCACCTCTGCTCTTTGATTCAGAAACTTCCCTCTCTCTCTCTAACCTCTCCTCCCTGCCACTCTTTCTCCCTTTCTCTGTTTTTCTGGATGTATTGAGCTATTGAAGCTCCTAGGAGACTCCTGGCTGCCAGTAGCAAAGTTGACTGCCTCACGAGGCTGAGGAGAAGAGAACTAGAATCAACTCATATTAGAGAGCTGGATATTCAATGTGTTTTTATTATTTCTATGAAAACATGTTCAACTATTTCGAAAACTACTTTTTTTGGTTTTCCTCCTTTCTCATTTTTTTTTCTTTTTATCTGCATTGGAAGTAGTCACTAAGTTTATGCCACAGATTGGAAGGGATGGGTAAATTTACTTAGTAAGCAAAGCAAACATTTGCCTCTTCTCAAATAGTGAATAAGATACCTGAAATTAAAGGATCATCTTCTGGCCTTTTAAAGAAGGAGGTGCCATTTTTTCAACTACTAACATTTTCAAGTCATTTTTAATTGATGATCAAGGCTCTTCCTGACTCTTCGTCAGTAACAGACATAATAAGGGTTAGAGAAGTGAAGGATTTTTATGTGTGTGTGAAGGTGAGAGATGATAGATTACAAGAGGTATAAAAATGACATTAAAACGTTACAGTAAGCTAATTAATTGTTGAAGAAAGAAAAAGTATTTTAAATACATGTAGTGGAGCCTAAGTACACAGTGTTTATAAAGTCTACAGCTATATACAATAATGTTCTAGGCCTTCACATTCACTCACCACTCATTCATTGACTCAACCGGTGTAACTTCCCGTCCTGCAAGCTGCATTTGTGGTTAAGTGTCCTATACAAATGTACCATTTTTTAACCATTTTAAAAATATGTTGATATGTTAACAGAAAATAATAAGATGGCCCAACTTCAGAAATTTACATAACCTTTAAAGTTACTCTTTAGAGATTCTCTTTGTCATGGATTTGAGCCTGTCCCAGTATAACACAAAATGTGGAACTGACTAAATATCCACTACCTTTTTTTAATTAATTTTTTTTTTTTTTAGTGTCAAGGGTACATGTACAGATTGGTTCTACAGTTAAATAGCATGATGTGGGGAGTTGGCGTCCATACTATTTCATCACCCAGATAATAAGCATAGTATCTGATAGGTAGATATATATATATATTTTGAGACTGAGTCTTGCTCTTGTTGCCCAGGCTGGAGTGCAATGGTGCCATCTCGGCTCACCGCAACTTCTGCCTCCCAGGTTCAAGCGATTCTTCTGCCTCAGCCTCCAGAGTAGCGGGGATCATAGGCATGCACCACCACACCTGGGTAATTTTGTATTTTTAGTAGAGACGGGGTTTCTCCGTGTTGGTCAGGCTAGTCTCAAGATAGGTAGATTTTTTTATCCTCACCCTCCTACCCATCCTCCATCCTAAAGTAGGCCCTGGTGTCTATCGTTCCTTTCTTTGTGTCTATATGTACTCTGTGTTTAATTTATGCTTATAAGTGAGAACAGATGGTGTTGGGTTTTCTGTTCCTGAATTAGTTCACTGAGGATAATGGTCTTCAGCTTCATCCATGTTGTTGCAAAAGACATTATCTTATTCTTTATTTTGGCTGCATAGTATTCCATGGTGTATATGTACCACATTTTCTCTATCCAGTCTACCACTGATGGGCATTTAGGTTGATTGCATGTCTCTGCTATTGCGAATAGTGCTGTGATTAACTTATGAATCCATGTGTCCTTATGGTTGAACAATCTATATTCCTTTGGATTGCTAATGGGATTGCTGGGTCAAGTGTGTGTAGGTTTGGGGTTCTCCTTTGAATCAGTTATTGCACTTCACTGTTTCCTCACAATTATGTATCAGGAACACTGGCAAGAATTTGTAAACAGATCCAAAACTCATCCTTGAGTATTAAGAGTGAGAAGATTATCTCTCCATGGAACAATTCAGTTTCATGTCTATAGACAAGAATTATTTTGCATTTCTATTAATTATCTACCACTTAACAGAGTTGCAAAGAAGCTTATAGAATCAAAATAATGTAATGTGAAATGTGCCATAAATAATGCATAGTTTTCATTGAAGCACAGATCTTTTCCACATGTCATGTATCTATTAGTTCACTAGACCTAATTTGTAATATTTATGGAAAATATAGTCAGAGTAATAGTAGAACCAATAGTAGTTATATCAGTAAAGAACTTACCATCAAATAATAACTCTTTTAAAGGTTAAAAATATGTCTTTCATTCAAATATAAAGTAAGCATATGTCAATGATTTTTAATTTCTTTATGATATTAAATATATATTATTTTTTCAAGTACTATATCATTTATAATTTATATCAGTTTTTTGACTCTCTTCTATGTTGCATTGATCAATTTGTCAGTGTATTATAATATAAATTTTTATTACTATAAAAATAATATTTTGGCATATAGTAAAAAATAACCACATAACTAATAATGTTTACTTATTCCTTTCAATTCTTGTATGATATGTTAACAGAATAAGTTACATAGTTTTAATTTGCTTATAGAATTTAAAGGATTTTTTTTTTCTGATTCATGGGGTTACTTTCAGTAGCTTAGTATGGGTAGAGAAGTCTAACATTTTTTTATTTACCCAAATTGGTTTGACCTATTTTTCAAATTGGAATTTCTATTTCTTGTTAAAAATAGAAATAGAAAAATGCTGCAGATATTTCAATAGTGTTTCAAAGCCTGGGAGGCAGAGCTAGAGGATTTATCAAGCTCAGCTCACCTAATACACACACCCAGCTTCCTACCATCACTTCCACCCTGAGCCTAAGGGTCTGTCCATCTGTTTCTTTCATGAAATCCAGGGGAAATTGTTATTTTCTCAAGAGCTTAGAGATTTAGTGTGTGCAGGTGTGTGTGTGTGTGTGTGTGTGTGTGGTTCCCTTTTCTATATGGACAAAGTTTATTATTATTTTTTTACATTTCTCTCAGCTCATGCCCACAAAGAAAGCTTAAATACTAAAGACAAAGGATCATAGCAAGTCCTGAAGGTTTAAGAATCCAAAGTAAAAATTTACGGTTATATCTGTAGTTTGTGTTCAATGAGAAAATAAGTAAAAATTAAAATAAGTCCTTCATGCTATTTAGAGTTTTCTAGTAAGAAATACACACTAACTTACTGAATATTTTATTTAAATTTTTATTCTGTAATTTCATTCACTTTAAAAAGGTAAAAGACAGTACTTATTGATGAGAAGAAAATAAGGAATTTAGTTAAGCCAGAACATAAGATATATATTTACACATTTCTTATTATTCGAGAGAGCATGGAGTTAAAAATTTTAAGATCAAAGTTAGTGTTTAACAAAGCTCACTGCAATTTTTTTCTGATCTTCTTATGTTATACAAAGTCAAAATTAATGACTCATAATAAACAAACTATTTTGTGTACTTATTCTTCATCATAATGGTTTTTACTTCTATGCTTGCCTAGTATTGGTAAATATCTGCATAATCCATTTGAGAGGAAATAAAATATTTCTAGATTGCCCATTTTTTAAAGTGAAAAATTTTGCAAAGTTATCAAATGGAGAAATCACTAAAGAGTAAATACTTAACAAAAATCACATTAAGAATTTTAAGCACAAGATATTAGTCTTAGCGTTTTCATATCACCCTATTGATTCCTCAATGCAAAGCCTAACTCACTTTAGGGGTATCCTAAATAAAAAAATATATTATGAATCAATATTTATTTTTATGGAATAATTGTCACTATGTAGCTGAACATTCAATTTAAGATATAAAGAATAAATATTTAAGTTCGTATATTTATTAGTTTTCTATTGCTGCAGTAACAAAGTACCACAAAACTAGCAAAGTAGAACAAATGTATTGACTTACAGTTTTGTAAGTAAGAATTCTAGAAGGGTGCAGCTGGTTTTTCAACTCCAGGTCTGACAAGGTCAAAATCAAGGTGTCCTTTGGCCTGGGCTCTTATCTGGAGTCCCTGAGGGAAGATTTGATGTTTAATTCTTTTCTCTTACCAGTCTGAATGTTCCAAGGAGGTCATGTCAACAGTTAAAGTCTGCCATTTTGCCTCTTAGTGCGCATGTGTGAGCCCTCTCATCCAACTCCTGAGATCTTATCAGGAAGCTGCTGATCACCAGCTTCAGGTGTTTCTATGTATTGGGAGACGGTCTTTCCCTGGCACCAGTTGCAACCAATGATTACTTTAGAGAGACAGTTTAACAACTGCCTGACCATCACCTGATGGTCAGGTGATGGTCAGGGAGAAGTATTGTTGGCAGAATTCAATTCCCTGTAGTTGTAATGCTGAGGTTCCCCATTTCCTTGCTGCCTGCCTTTCTGGGACTTCTCTTAGCTCTTTAAGGCCACCTGCTTTCCTCATCATATTGCCTCCTGCCTTGTTGAGCCAGCAAAGGGACAAGTGCATTTTATACTTCTAAACTCTCACTCCTCCTATTGCATCTCTTCTGGCTCCAGCTGAAGAGAGTTCTCTTTTTTTAAGGATTCCTGTAATAATGTTACAGTAGGTAGCTAGTCAGACATAAGCAGAGTGGAGAGGGACCCCACTCACTGGGAATGTCAGATGACCATCAGGTGATGGTCAGGCAGTTGTTAAACTGTCTCTCTAAAGTAATCATTGGTTGCAGCTGGTGCCAGGGAAAGACAGTCTCCCAATAAATAGAAACACCTGAAGCTGGTGATCAGCAGCTTCCTGATAAGATCTCAGGAGTCGGATGAGAGGGCTCACACATGCGCACTAAGAGGCAAAATGGCAGTCTTTAACTGTTGACATGACCTCCTTGGAACATTCAGACTGGTAAGGGAAAAGCACCTCAGGTGAGCATGTGTGCAATTCCAGTAAAATTGGAAATAATTGGACTAAGTGAATAACCTTTAGTGGAGATATTTTCTCATAATTTATTAATAAAAACTTTATATAGAATGTTTCAAATTTTCCAATGAAGGTTTAAAATTAACACATGTATCATGCAATTGTATGTACATGAGTTTTCTGTTTGCTAAGAATTTCTATTTATTTTCTAACTCTCTTTCATAGATAATATTTTTTGGCTGCTTGGAGTACATGATCTCTCTTGAAGAGCAAATTCTATGTCAGAGGTTTATGGGTTGCCTTCCCTTGAATAATGTTGCCTTAGTTTGAATTTCTCCTGTTCTAGGGCAACATAATATGAGATAGTCCAGCTTCTTATCTGTGTGATATCTGTGGATAAAGAAAAATATAGTAAAATAATTGAATAAGAAATAAACAATGCTCTTAGATGTTTTGACAGCAATGTTAAAAGTCTCATGACTCCATCTTACCTCTATTCCTTTCTGCTTTGTTAAGCTAGTAATTTTTAAATTTTTGACCAGTTCCACCATTAGAAACACATTTTTCATCATGACCCAATACAGACAAACACAAAATACTTCTACAAGTCTCTACATTATATACATAATACATTTCCTACTTTTACTATTCATATTTTTACTGCTGTTTTATTTTACTATTTATTTCACTAAAAATTCTTATTGGAACTAACCAAACTGATTTTATAACCTATTTATAGAGAACTACCTGTAATTTGAGCGAAAAAAATCTTCTTTTGGAAACTCCTTAAGATATAGTCTGCCTTACTGCACGCTATTGAGGTGAGTATTTCTTCAGAAGATCCCGCAGGTATGGAGTGTGGAAATAGACTTTACTTCTCAAAATTGGTGACTCTACTCCTCTCCTGTTTCAAGCTACTTCTCCATTGAATATTTATTTTTCCTTGTGTAGCAATATAAGCGGAGTCCTTCACTGTCTTTTTGCAAATTCAACAAGTATTAAAGGTTTTCAATTTCCTAAAGACCTTTCTTTCAAAGAGGTTTTCCTTCCAGAGATTAATGGATAATAATGTAATAAGCTGTATCACCAATGTGTAAAGTAGAAATGAGGTAATCCCTTTTATCCCCACCATAAAGTGTTATGGCCAACATCCATGTAACAAAAGACAGGTTAATAAGAGAAAAGTATAACAAATTTAGTACATACACAAGTGTGCATGGGAGTCATACAAATTATAAAAACTGAAGAGAAGAACCAGATGGTTGGTGCGAAATACCCTCTTTATTGGTTAGAGGAAAGTGGGGTGCATAGGAATAGAAAACTTTCAGTGGAAATGAATGGTTGCAGTAGACATAAACATTAACTTGTAAATGATTCTCTTTAAAATTGGAATGAAACTGAGAGGCAGATACTATCTTGTGAAATAGTGCATCCAGATGTGGTTGCATTCCTCAGTCTTCTATGATAGATAATAAGACTTTAGGCAGGGGATGGAAAGCAATTTTGTTCCTCTTTGGAAGTCAAGGATCTCGACAGATAAAATAACTTCAGAGAATGGCTTTATCCTGTGCCTTGGGAGGACCAGAAGATTGAATGACAGGAAGGTGGGGGAAGATCAGAGAGATCTTGAGGCTGCTTCTTTAGTTCAATATGTAAAAACGCTGTATTTTGGGATATTGTTTCTGGACCCCAACAATTGCATACCATAATTTACCATATTTCTTACTCTTTATACCGCTGAATTTTCACTTCCATCAACTCCAAATGTTCTGTAGCTCATTTCAAATTAACAGTGTCCCTCAGAATCTCTTGTCTGAAATGCACTATAGGGCCTCAATTTTTACATCAGCAAGAAACTTATTCTATTTAACATAATTAGAAAATGAATTTACCGGGAAACAAAGAACATGATTCAGAATCAAGAGGAAAATTGAACAACTTAGTTTTGAAAATGAGAAAGAACCAAGGGAAACTAATTTACTTCTACACAATTCAACACCATGCTAAACAAGATCTAGGCAAAGATGTTGCTGCCCTCAGTAGTGGTGCCACACGTTTAGGATGAGGCCACAGCTGCTTATATTCAAGGAATCTTTCACTGACATGCCTTTTTGAATCCTTCTGGAGTCAAGGTCACGGGAACAACTAAGTTCAGATCCTATGCAGTAAAGCACCACGTGATATTTATTTTCTTTTAAATTATATCTATGGATACTTCTGCTTTTTTACATAATTATTTTGATGTATAATCTGGCATTCAAAAATTGTTATTTTTATCCCTCTCCCTTTCTGTCTCTTTTTCTTTCTCTCCCTTCACTCATTCCTTCCTTTTTTAAAAATCCATGTTGTTTTAATGCTAGTCACAACTTGTCTTCAAGAAGAAAATAATGCTAAATAAACTGATACGTGTAGACATGCAGCAGGGGAATGATCTAGGGAGCAGGAGGCTTTGCTGCAGGCCAGCTGTCTCACAGCACATTTTCAATCACGCTGTTGTAGGTTCAACCTAGGGAAAGACGCTTCAGTTCACTGTGCATAGATTCCATGTTTTCAGCAACCCCTCAGATCATATGTTTGTGCAATTTCATAACTTAGCATTTAAATATTTCCCTTCTTCCCTAAATATGATCATTAGGGATAAAAGCCAAACGCCTCTTTCTGTCTTTTCTTCCATCCTGTCACAAGCGGTATGCAGATTCTTTCTTGTCATTTCAGCGGCATTCCTGCCCTTTCTGCATTTTCCCTTACTTACCCTGGAAAAATGTGCAAATAATATTTGCCAGAATACCCTGCCAGCTATTTCCAGTTGAAATGCTGTCAAGGATAGATACTCGTACAAGCTTTGGAAGGCAGGAAGGGAAAAGCCATTCTTTTCTCCTATGGCAGTGGCAGACAGATGTGTGAGCTGACAGCAGAAAACAGACATGAGGTTCCCAGTAGCCTACAGGCATTTGCTGGTGAATCACCCGCTGGGGTGCTGCAGGGTGCAGAGATCATTAGCAGTATTTTTCTATGATTGATGCACACAAGACAATGATCATTAACAATGTCATCCTCAAATATGATCAATAATATGAACAATAAAACGTAAACACTCGTTATTCAAATTGACAATAGACTAGCCAGTTTTCTTCTCACAGGTTTGACAGTTCACTAAGATTTTGACAAATTATTAAATAAAATGATTTAACTCTTTCTATGTATATATATCCTTAATGTAAACATTAAATACTACTACTCCATGTGTAATACAAAATAATTCTTTAGAATATATAGAGTTCTGAAATATTATTATAAATGTAAAATTTTCAATTTGAACAATCTTTAAATGGGTAAAATACAGACAGATTTTCAGTGTTAGTTGAAGCATAAATATTGTTAACGTAAACTAAGATTGTCAGACATCTAAAATTAATGCAGACCAATAACCTCCCCAAATCCATTATGTCTGGAAAATATATGTTTCAGTTAACACTTGTAAAAATGTATTTGTGACCGTCAACTTACAAATACTAAGAAGATATAGAGGTAATTTATAATTTACCTCAAGTCTTTGAATATTTAGTTAAAACTTACTGTTTTTTTTTAATTTAATTTTTTATTTATTTGAGACAGAGTCTCACTCTGTCGCCCAGGCTGGAGTGCAGTGGCACGATATTGGCTCACTGCAACCTCTGCCTCCCAGGTTCCAGTGATTCTCCTGCCTCAGGCTCCGGAGTAGCTGGGAATACAGGTGCATGCCACCATGCCCAGCTAATTTTTGTATTTTTAGTAGAGACGGGGTTTCACCATGTTGGTCAGGTTGGTCTCGAACTCCTGACCTCCTGTGATCCACCCACCTTGGCCTTACAAAGTGCTGGGATTACAGGCGTGAACCACTGCATCCAGCCTAAAATTTTAAACATTTAAGTCAACTGCAACAGGAATTGATGTTAAATTTAATAAGACAATCTCTTTTTAAGCAAAATTTATAGCAGTCACATCACTCAGTGGGATAGGTTTTAATTTGAAATTTAATAATAGGTAATTTCTTTTCTAAAAAGCCTCAAAATTTGCTGCTATTTTATGTTGCTGTAATATTACAAAAAAAAAGAGACTTGTAGCAACGTTTTCTTTTCTTTTTCTATATGGTCTTACATAAGAAAGACATTATAATGTAATCACGAAAGCTTTTAATCATGGAAATCACCAGTACATAATGCTTTTTTATTCAATAAACTCAACTTTTCAAGGATGTGCCAAAAGAATGTAAAACTAATTATTGAATTATAAATTAAAATTTTCCATCTTATGTAAAGAGAGAAATAGAAAGGGCAGCTAATTACTGCTGTCCTATATTGTTATGCATTTGCTAATAGAATTCCATTCTCCTGGAAAGGTCTAAAGATATCAAGGCAGTGCTTGGGTTATGGAAGTGAATTGAAATCCAATATCACTCCATGAGTTACATTTGCAAACTTAGAAAATATAATTTAGAAACATTTTGAAACTTTTAAGAAGGTCTAAGGCAAGTTCAAAGGTATATATTTTCAGGCTTTGATGAACACAATGCATAGTAGAGAACATTTTTAAAGCATCATTTGCAAATAGTAATAATTTTTAATTTTCATGTGTATGTATTAAAATCAGACAGAGTTCATGTGGAAATGCAGTATGCAAGTAATGCCTTTTATACTTATAATCCCTTCCAAATGTCATCATGGGCTCTTATTTTTGTATCCTTGACATGTGGTAGTTCCTCAAGAAAAGGAAGGAGTGAAAAAATAATCCCTCAGTTATGGAAACCATTCCAATAGTTTTGTGTTTATATGATGGACTGATAGTCTGTTACAACCCTGTGGGTTCTTCTTGCCTGCCCCACAGAAAAAGTCAGTACACTGACAAAACAGGTGTTACAGCAGAGAAAAAGTTGAATAATCCCAAGGCCATCTAGCAAGGAGGAAGGGAGATGTCTCTAAAACCTGCCTCCCCAGGAATTTGGAGACTAGGATTTTTAAGGATTGTTTGGCAGGCAGGGGGCTTAGAAATGGGTTCTACTGATTTGGTTGCCTTTTTCACATTTCTTCTCCTATGCCTTATTGTTCAAATAAGACTAATAAATCTCCTCCAAACCATATATCAGCAATTTTTTGCTTTCATTTAACTTATGTCCCTCTTTTGCTAGGATTGACAATCCACTCATCTAAAACCAATAAAAATCCTTCTGACGACCTTTCTGTACTTACATGGGAGATTACTGCCTTATTGAAGATTCTTCTCAATTATTCACTTTCTCCTTTGAAATCTATAAGACATACATATCAATCTTTCCTGTGGCATTTAATTTTCTTTAACTTTTTAATGGTGCTTTCATTTTATTTTGAATTATAGGTGTTTATTAATATTGTATTGACATATATCATAGCCTATTAAAGATAGCAGACTATCGTATTTAAATTAGCATTTATAAAATTTAATGTACTAAGATAATTACCTTTTATTTGTGAATCATGGCAATTACTCTTTTTTACATCTATTATGAAAAAAAATCATACCTTTAAGTACATGCACGTGAAGGAAAAAACAATGGTTTTTATAGTAGAGACACCGTTGTCTCATAATGATTGTAATTTCAGGTTTCACACTCAGAGAATACCTGTAGAACAAAACAGATAGATATAAAACTAAAATTATAAACTTTTTCACCTCTAGCTTTCTCCTATATTTATTCATTTTTGATTTAAATGAATATACTCAAGGTGTTTCAAATCATTTAAATGTAGAAACTATAATATCTGTTGTGTTTTTATCTCCCTGCTCCTTGTATACAATCAGCTATCACCCTTCCTTTATCACAGTTCTAGAATGAATTGTGGGAACTTCATTTTGGGGTTTCTACTGAAATATACACTATGCATTTGAGCAAATACAAAAAGAGAACACCTGCATGGAAGGCTTAGAAAAGATTGTGATTCAAGATAGAAAAATTGGAAGCGTTATCCCTTTTTTCTCACAGATGCAGAATGACACCAGGCCTTATTGTTTGGTAAGTGAAGGATCACCTGAAATTAACCCCTTATTTGCCCTCATCAAGGTATCTTTTTGTGCAGGCCACAACATGAACAACTATACATGGAAGTTTTGTTTAACATGGCCCCTCCCTAATATTATTCCTATCCCTAATATTATTCCTATCTCTAATATTATTCTTTATGCTTACTGTTTTACAGTATTTGTCATTAGCATTGAAATGATTTTCTCTTTGACCCTCTATTAGAGTTATCACTGTAATGCACAGGTTGTTTTCCTTCTTTCATTGTAAGACCTTTGGGTGATGGTCCTCAAGTATCCTTGACAGGCTTAAATTAGTTCTGCTTCATCATTCCTTTTGTTTTATTCTCTGTCTGCTTCCCTTTTTCCTGTATTGCAGTTTATTCTCTTTCATTATTCCATCCTTTATATATTTTAGTACACCCTTTATTGTCAATTTTTTTTTCATTTTCAGATATATAGATTTTTAATTAGATATATAATCCCAATTATATGTTATTATTAAAATTATATATAAATTTATATAAATACTTATAAATATATAATATTTAATTAAACATATTGAGAGAGAGAGAGAAAAGGTCTTGCTCTGTCACCCAGGCTTGAGTTCACTGGTGCAATTATAGCTCTGCAGCTTCGAACTCCTGGGCCTAAGCAACTTTTCTGTGATGACAGACATGAACCACCTTGCCTGGCTCTCTACTTGTTATTAGCAGCTCTGAGACTGTCTAGGGGCCTGTGGCCTGCCTATGTGACTTTCAAGTTCTCTCCATTGAGGGCTTAGTGGGGCATGCATAATGGGTGCCTCATGACTCTCAAGCTGAGAGACTTGTTTTTCTTTCCCAAATTAAGAAGATCTCTGCTTGTCCAATACAGTAGCTTCTGGCAGTATGTGACATTTAAATTAATTTAAATGCATTAAATTAATTAAAGTGTCATTCTTCAGTCACACTGACCTTATTTCAAGTGCTGAAGATATCACAGATATAGAGTATCTCCAGAATTGCAATGTCTATTGGACATTACTGCTGTAGTGCGTAACATACAAAGCCCTCACATGTTTTCACCTACATTTGTTAAAACTCTTGTCATGCAATGTTGTTTTTAAGGCATCTTTTTTAGTGGTGTATTACATATTATTCATGAACTGATGATCCAGCCTTTAAACAATGTTTTTTTGTTTGTTATCCATAGAAGTGAGTTAACTACTTTTTACACTATTTCCCAGTAGAATACATACACAAATTCTTATGATATAATATCAATATAATTTCAGATAAGAGCAAATAACCTCTTTATAATTTGGAAATAATAAAACCTATGAGTTTACTTGTATTTAGAGAGAAGGTAGGGAAGACAGCAGTATGGGTGCAGATGCCTTTAAAAAGTTTTGTTTACCTCTAGCCAATAAAACTTGTGATTCTCTTACTTCTTTGTAAATGTGCTAGATTAGCACAAATTGATATGCCATATATGCCATAGTAAACCCTGCCTCTGACAAATATTTTTGATCATATATGAAGCAGGATTTGGCAAATTTAGAACTATCCTTTGTATACCTACTAATCATTCACAGAAGAGTTTAATATAAATTATTTCATTCTCATAATGTTGTACATAACTGTAATGTTATCCCTGTATGCATATAGAAACTGAGGTTCAAATTGGTTAAGTAATAACATGAAGATCATATATGCAATTAGAATACATCAAACATAGGACTTCTTTGCAAGTCTGAATTGCTTTTTTTGTATTTTAAAAAATATCAATTTTTCAATACCTTTTATCACTTTATTGACTTGTTATTCTTCAATGCAAGAAAATTACACATTTTGAAACATGCTTTCTGTATACCACAGTAATATTTGCAAAATGAGAAAAAAAATCTACTTGATACTTCATTAGCAATAAAGTTACGAGATTCAAATAATCTTTCACCATAAAGTTTAAGTTGATGCGTAAATCATTTATTCATTGCTTTGACAATCAGCTAGACAATAGCTGTTTTCCATGTACTAAGCTAAGGTTTGAACATAAGAAAATAAATGATTTGCTACCACTGACCGTGTAACAGCAGAAACGAGGTGACTGCTTTCAAACTTAAATTCTTTCTCAATAGAGAAAGGACATTTAAATTCTTTCTCAATAGAGAAAGGGCATTTACCTAGAGAGATATAATCAATGGGGTGTTGCAATCAATACTATGACATGAACAGAAGAAGTTTATGCTGAGTGGAAAGTGGCATGCTAAACATGTAGAAAGATTTGCTTTAAGTATCAACAAAGGTACTAGGCTTGAACACCAAATTTTAGATAGATAATAAAGCATATACTGAAGAAAAAAATGCTTGGAATGTTCATAACAGCAATTTTTTTTTTGTAAAAAAGTAAAGATACTAATTAAATTACCTAACAGTGGCTTAAAATAAAGCATTTTGATAGAAGGTGATGGGAAATAACATTAGAGAGATGTGTCAGATAATGAAATTTCCTACATAGGAAGCAAAGGACAACTTCGTTAGCACAGAATCACTGGACATTTTTACATAGGAGAGTGATTTGATAAAATTAATGTTTTACATACATGATTCTAGACCTGAATTTAGCAAGGTTTTGGAAAAGGATACCAGACTAACACCATGAGGATTATGCCTAAGAACTTTGGAAGCTACTGCTTTTATCTAAGAAGTAGCGCAGATGCTAGCAAAGAGAAAAATTCTAGTTGAAAGACATTTAGAGGTATCTTTGGAAGTTTTTAGAGATTGGTTTGATTCAGTTGGGCATTAGTTTCCAGTTTATAAACTTGGAAAATCATTTTAAGATATTTTCAGCCACACATAACAGAGGACTCTACTCAAAGTGGCATATAATAAGGCAAAGGATCATCACACAGAATAATAAGTTCCAAAGTTGTGGTAACAGTGGATTAATTCAGTGACTTAATAGAGTCAAGTGCTCTGGTTCTTTCCAGTTTGTTTTCTGTGCCATTCTCTGTTGCCAGCTTTATTTCTCATTCTAGGTGCCTTCATGGTTATAGCATCTTACATTTCCTGACACAACATTCATAAAAGTAAAGCAGAAGACAGTTTGTCATGTCTTCTTCAGGTCCAAGGGAACTCTTCCCGTACAGCATCCAACAGATTTTTCCTTATGTCCTATTAACAAGAACTGCTTTATTTGCCCAGAGAGGTGAATGGCATCATTGTGACTGGTAGGTTAGTTAAGACCTATCCCCTGCAGGGACTTATGTGAAAGGAAACAATCTTTTTGTCATTTACAGATATAGTATCTGGAAACGTTGAACAGATCACTGATGCTCTTTTCATGTATGTATAGATACACTTATTTATTTATAAATATATATACATTATATTTATATAATATACACATTATATATTTATAAATATAATTGTAAGTATAATCTTATATTTATATAATATATCATATATTTATATTTAATTTATTTTATTAATATATCATATTAATTTATTATATTTATTATATTATATATATAATTTATTATATTAATATATCATATATTTATATTTATATTATAAATATATCATATATTTATGTTATACATATAAATACATAATAAATATATATTTTAAAATATATATATTTTTTGAGACAATGCCTTTCTCTGTTACTCAGGTTGGAATTCAGTAGCATGATCACAACTCAGTACAACCTGGATTTCCCTGGCTCAGGCTATCCTCCCACCTCAGCCTCCTGAATAGTTGTGACTACAGGCATAGTTGTAGAGATGAGGTCTCACTATGTTGCCCAGGCTGGTCTCCAATTCCTGAGCTCAAGTGATCCTTCTGCCTTGGCCTCCCAAAGTGCTGGGATTACAGGCATGAGCCATAGTGTCCAGATTATTTCCATTTGTAAAATATATTTTCTTTTTCGCTTGTTGTTTCTGACAGTGGGGAAGGTAGGTAAATTTGTTTCTTGTTACCCTTTACCTCCACACTCTATATGTTCTTATTTTATATTTCCTATAGCTTTGTCAGATAGTTTTTTTGACCTGAACTTCCACCTCTTTAATTTTAGTTTTACATTAATTTATAAACTCATATTCATGTATTTTTATGCTTTCTGATTTTCTGGGAAAGTGTATAACTCTTCATTTACTTACTCAAACATTTTGCACATATATTTTAAAAGCCTGTGTCTGATAACTGCAGTTTGAAGTTCTGGCTTTATGCTCTCTTGACTTCTGATCATGGTAACTACCCTCGTTGAGTACTTGTTTAGTTAGATTAAGCGATACATAATTAATATAAAAATTTGTCAACATAGTTGGCCTAAAATGTTGTCACATTAGGTTTGCTTCTGTGGACCTTTGACATACAAAAAAACTCACATCATTTAATAGTATTTCAGTGATCCAAATATTTTAAAGTTGGGGTTTAGACCCTTTCAGGATCAGTTGCTTTCAGGTTTACGCTTACACTTAGTTGTATAAAAATACCTTTTGAGGTATCAATTAAAGCCTGGGATATTTAGTGGGAAACTGGTTTTTGAAAATCCTAGAATAATGTTTCAGATTGCTTAGGCTGTAGTTCTCTATCAGGTACTATTTTTTTTTTCAGAGACTATTTGGCATTGTATGGAGACAATTTGGTTGTCACAGTTTGGTAGAGAAAGGGTATAGCTAGTAGTATCTAATAGCTAGAGACCTGGGATGCTGTTAAACATTCTACAACGCACAGGACAGCACTCACAACAAAGAATCATCAAGTGCAAAATTCTAATATTGCCAAGGTTGAAAACCCCTGTCTTAGACCTAGGAGACTGAAAAGTTATTTTCAGCTTTCCAGCTTCTCAGTGGCTTCTTTTTGAATCTGCAGAACCCAGCAGAAAATATCTCCAAATGCCATGCTCACACCTCTAGCTTTCTTTATTTTTTTAGTTCCTGTCCATAAGTCTTTACTGTCTTGCTAAGTCTCCCAGCTTTTAGCCTGATCATCTATTTTTCTTTTAGATTTCCTGATTGACAAGTTCTTCTCAGTGGGAGAACAGCTACTAGACAGGGGCTTTAAGTTCTGCAGGCCCTTGGCATTTAAATATTCCCCTACACATTAAAATGCACCCATTTCCTATATCAAAATAAACTGTTTGCTGTAAAATTTTGAAATCATGTTTAAAATTTTGCTTTTGGAATAATTTGACTGTAGTCATCAAAACTGTATAAAGTAACAAATTATAAAAATGTCAAATGTCATACTTTGTAGACATGTTAAAATTAACAAATTTTGGATCTTTCGTTTTTACTTTGATATTTAGAGGAAAATTTTTCTTCTTTCAAACTTTAAACATTTTTCTCCTATGTTTAGAAAATGATATAAAAACTTTATAATTTCACGGAGTTCTATTATTTTTATGTCCCTATACTAACTGCTATATTTTAAATTTGTCACATAGTAGTACTCTAAAGGAAAATAATATGTCAGTGGCATATGCCCATCACTCAGATATGAAGTAATTTCGGTGCTGTGATTTTAAGACTTGTAACTAAATTTCATTTAACGATCTCACAGCAGCATATATCATTGCCAACATATATTTGACAGAAGTAATTCTCTTATCTTTAAAACACTAATTGTAACAAGCGTGTTTCAATAAGCTCATGATACAAAATATCTCAGGTTAGTCAGTGAATTGACTACCCAATGCATTGTATATTTCAAAGCCTTACCAGGCCCATTCGAAGAAATGGGAATTAAAAAGCTAACGTTAGGGCAAAGAATCCTTAAGTGTTATGTTATCTAAATTAGATATATGTAATTTAGAGGCACCTCATATTTGCTTACTTTTAAACTTGAAAAAATTTTTCTCAATTGTTATCATCAGTTTTCATGGTTAGAAATTCCAAAATATTATAGTTCCATTAATTTGCTTTATTTTTTTTCCAAGATGCTAGGTGCAATTATGTTGCAGACACAATTATTTAAGTGTCAATGCTTGTAACTTCTCCTTCTTGTTCCTATTTTCTTGTCTTTTTAAATCATATTTATATACTGTTCAACATTGCTGAGCCTACACTACATTTTGCCAATAATCTGATTAAACTCTAGAAACTCACATAAGGCTACCAGTCAATAAAATCAGCAGAAACCTGAAAGGTTAACCTTTCATATAAGTATAGCATGTGGATGTCAGTGTGTTCATAGATACCGAGTTGAATAGTGACCTCTGAAAATTCATGTAATGTTCACTCAGAACCTTGTAAGAAGAAGGAAATTTGGACATTGAGGTCCAGACACACAGAGATAGCACAAGGTAATGATGGAGGCAGAGACTGATGTGATGTTTGTCAAGCCAAGGAATGCCAAATACTGTTAACAAGCATCAGAAGTTAGAAGAGTCAATGCAGGCTCCTCTAGAGCCTTCAGAGAGAGTTTGACCTTGTTAACGTCTTGATTTAGAGACTCCAGCCTCCACAATTTTGAGGGAAAACATTTCTGTTATTTTCAGCCATCCAGTTTATGTAATTTATTAGGCCATCCCTAAGAAACTAGCACAGTACTCATCTAGTATTATAAACTGAATATTATGTTATGTTACTGTTTTATATTTCAATTTTATACATAAAATATTATGGCCAATAGAAATTTTGAGAAGTTTCTCACTCAAAGTATAAGCATGTTTATACAAATGCACATCTACACATTTGTACTGATATTTTCTAGTTCTGAAACTCAGTACATTTCATAAGAACTGATTTGATTTGATTTTACCACAGATGGGCATTTTTAATTAATGACAGAATACAGTTTTTTGTTGTGGTTGAAGCAATTCATTTACTTTTACGTTCAACTTCAGAATAATATACCACATATTCAAAAAATGTGTATTTATGGAGCCTTGAAAATGGAATAACAAGAAGTAATAATTCCTTATTTTATTTTATCAGAGACTACATTTAAGCCTCACTGCAAAATAATTTAACCCAGTCTATGCTAAACCAGTTATAATCTTACAGTGAAGCCACTAAATGCAAATCAAACTTCCTGTAGGATTTCTACAACTCTTTGTTGGCAAATTGAATTTGTAATTAAATCCGTTAGTTATTTATTTCAGAGTGACTTATCCATATATTTTTCTAATTAAATATTTATATACTTAAAATTACATATTTGATCACAGTGAAATGATTTGAGACCTTACTGAAATACACATACCAACAAAACTTAAAATTTTGAGCTAATTATTAAAGCCTGAGGCAAATGACATTTGATTTCAAAATGTGGATAGTTACAATCTTTATAGTATAACTTATCTTTCTGCTTGGCCAAATATCATCATATTTTATGAATATACATCATCATAAAATCAAACTATAAGCAACAATTTAATGAAATTGTTAAGTCTTTTTATTTCAGGAAAACAATTTTTTTAGTGAGCAGCTCCTTTAGATAACTATTGTGAGGAACAAAATTCAATCTCCATAGTCTATCTTCTTAATTAAGCACACTGTAGCTACCAAAAGTTTTATATTACCAGGGCACCAATGTGGGCAAGAAATTGCATAAATTTCAGGGTACCTAACAGACAGGCTAAAATAATCAATCAGTCACACAACCTGATCAACATTAGATAATTACCCAGAATGACTATGAAGATAGCTAAAGACAAGAAAGATTCACGTAGTCATTTATAAATTGGCAAACACTTACAGGGTTAAAGGAATTAACATTTCCAAGCAAAATAATCAAATCTGTTTCCTAGGTCATATTAGCGAGATCTATGCACTGATCCTGGTAATATTTTAGAAACTGTCAGCATGACTGAAAGCTCAATGTCAATGAAATATTTTGTTTACTGTTTCACCTCTATTTCTCCTAGAATTTTCTAGTTTTAATGCCTATACTGTTACTTCTAACCCTATAGATTTAAGTGGCACACTAAATGGGAAATAAAAGCAATTGTGTGTTGGTGTTAAGCATTCTCAGCAGGGAGCTGCTTAGTTATTGGGTCATAAAGTTTTACAAAAAAAAACCCCAAAATTTAATGTATTTATTTTTAGTGAAATTAAATTCATTGAAAAATAGTAGGCTAGGTGTGATGGCTCATGCCTGTAATTCCAGCACTTTGGGAGGCTAAAATGGGAGAATCACTTGAGCCCAAGTGTTTGAGATCAGCCTGAGCAACACAGAGAGACTGTCTCTACAGATAATTAAACAAACAAACAAAAAGCCAAGGGGGTCGGCATGTACCTGTGATCTCAGCTACTTGGGAGGCTGAGGCAGGAGGATCATTTGAGCCCAGGAGATCAAGGCTGCTGTGAGCTGTGATCACAAAAAAAAGAAAAATATTAATAAATGGTGTCAATAACTACATATATTTATACAACAGTTTACAGATTATACAGAGTGCTTTAATTCATGTATCGTTGAATTTTCTAAAAATAAACCAAATAGCAAGATTTGAAAAACATTTAAAATTACTGTACCCCTTCCAAACACAAGGCTCAAGTACTAAAGTTTACTTGGTAGGACCTTCATTCTAATAGTCTGCATATTAAAACTAGATCTCCTGAACGTATAGTATAGTATATTACAAATAATTACAAATACATATACACACACACACACACACACAGACACACACTAGCCAATTCAAGTCAGAAAACATACTTTTCTGTAAAAACATGGTCTTATTACAATTTTCAAGTTTCATTTCTTCAAACATTCAAGTTCAGTTCTGTTCTTCATCATCAGCATCTTCCCTAAAAATGGGCATTTAATGAGCACCTAGTATTTGCTAGGCATTTTTATAGCATTTTTTGCGCTTTAGTAGTTATAGTTTCCACTTTATATTTGAGGTGTCTCAGTGAGATTATATTATTTCTCCCAAGTCAAATGAAGGGAAGAGCTATCCCAAATCAATTCAGACGTCTAAGACTAAGACCATGCTTAGTACTATAACTGACGCCCCTCTTAATTACAGCCCTTTTCTCTCTAGTAGGCTGGCCTGCAATGTCTGCTGACCTTGGATTTCTAGGACTCCTAGCTTTATCCTCTTTATTTTTTTCTTTCTTTTTTTTTTATTATACTTTAAGTTCTAGGGTACATGTGCACATTGTGCAGGTTAGTTACATATGTATACATGTGCCATGCTGGTGCGCTGCACCCACTAACTCGTCATCTAGCATTAGGTATATCTCCCAATGCTATCCCTCCCCCCTCCCCCCACCCCACAACAGTCCCCAGAGTGTGATATTCCCCTTCCTGTGTCCATGTGATCTCATTGTTCAATTCCCACCTATGAGTGAGAATATGCAGTGTTTGGTTTTTTGTTCTTGCGATAGTTTACTGAGAATGATGATTTCCAATTTCATCCATGTCTCTACAAAGGACATGAACTCATCATATTTTATGGCTGCATAGTATTCTATGGTGTATATGTGCCACATTTTCTTAATCCAGTCTATCATTGTTGGACATTTGGGTTGGTTCCAAGTCTTTGCTATTGTGAATAATGCCTCAATAAACATACGTGTGCATGTGTCTTTATAGCAGCATGATTTACAGTCCTTTGGGTATATACCCAGTAATGGGATGGCTGTGTCAAATGGTATTTCTAGTTCTAGATCCCTGAGGAATCGCCACACTGACTTCCACAATGGTTGAACTAGTTTACAGTCCCGCCAACAGTGTAAAAGTGTTCCTATTTCTCCACATCCTCTCCAGCACCTGTTGTTTCCTGACTTTTTAATGATTGCCATTCTAACTGGTGTGAGATTGTATCTCATTGCGGTTTTGATTTGCATTTCTCTGATGGCCAGTGATGATGAGCATTTTTTCATGTGTTTTTTGGCTGCATAAATATCCTCTTAAGTTTAAAGACCACTGGGCTCTGTCTGGATTTCCCCTCCAAGTTCCATGCCCTGGAGAGTGGGTCATCTCCTTGTTTCTCATTCTTTGTCTGTCATTGCTTAACACTCAATGCTTTGAGTGCTGTTGTTCCAAATATTTTGTCTTTCTTTGTTTTTGTTTTTAGGCAGCGGTGTATGTGCAGTGCCTATTACTCCATCTTGACAAGAAATGGAAGAACTCACCATTGTCTTTTGATATTTTAAACTGCATTACTTTCATATATTATCTCACTTATTTTTATATTTTAATGGAAATATCTACTCAGCATGATAAAACAGTTTTGTTTTTCTCATATTGCCAGAAGGAATACACAGTTTCTTTAATATGAAAGGCAATTTTATACATCCGCACAAAGAGTAACACTTCATTCATAGTATGCTACACGTATAGGAAGGTTGGTGAATATCTGCAGTTTGTACTTTCGAGTTGATTTTTTTTTTTTTAGTTTTTAATTTTGGGTTATTTTCTCTTTAATTTAACTTCTATGTATTTGTAAACTAAGTGATAATTTTTGACATATATTCAAGACTTAAGTAATATTCCATTAAATCACCCACATAGCTTCCCAACTTTTGATTTATTCTGTGAGAGTTGGCAATTTATACCACAACTGATTCAAATAAATGCACTAAATTAACAATGAAATAAATAAATACCATCAATACAGTTTATTACAGAAGGACAATAAACTCACAACACCTAATACTCTGTCGGCTGACTAGTTGATTTTTTTACTTATGTAAATTTCATCCCAATTTAAGAGATATTTAAAGGGTATATATTTGAATTGAGAAACAATGGTATTATTCCTAAATTGTAGATAGACAAACTGAGATTTCAAGACCTAAAGCATTTTTTTTCACAGCCACAGAGCAAGAAATTGATGAAGACAAGTTTTGAACAGAGATCATACTTTCAATCGAGTGCTTTCACTATACCTTACTGCCTTTTTTAAGAATTTATATATTAAAAATATATTTTAATCTTGTTATTTGATTAAAACCCAATTTGTACAATTCATGATACTGGAAAAATTACAAGGTTTGATAAATTTATTCTGAATAAAATTAAGATATGTAATTTGAATTGCTCAATTAGTTTGGAGTCAATAACTTAAAAGAGACCCTTTATACCATATTAACGAGTACATTTACAGTATTCATAATTCTGATATTTTTATTACTATATATACCATATTTTTATTTATTTATTTTTATTTATTTATTTATTTTGAGACAGAGTCTCGCTCTGTCGCCCAGGCTGGAGTGCAGTGGTGCAATCTTGGCTCACTGCAAGCTCCGCCTCCTGGGTTCACACCATTCCCCTGCCTCAGCCTCCCCAGTAGCTGGGATTACAGGCGCTTGCCACCACGCCCGGCTAATTTTTTTTTTATTTTTAGTAGAGATGGGGTTTCACTGTGTTAGCCAGGATGGTCTCGCTCTTCTGACCTCATGATCCCCCTGTCTCAGCCTCCCAAAGTGCTGGGATTACAGGCGTGAGACACCGCACCTGGCCCTACTTTTCTTTATTTTAAAGTATAATAAAGTAATAGAAAAAAAGATACCTTATAAAATAGAAATCAGTTCAATCTACACTTACCTGAGGTCTATTCTAAATGTCCTCCAATGTTAAAGACAAGGTTATCTTTAGATTATAAACAGATATAGTAATAGTGATATAGACAGCCAACTATATATATATCATATATCATATAATATATAATATATATTAATATTTATATATATTATATATAATATATATTATAATATATATATATATATATTTCAGGAGTATCTTTGTTTCCAGTCATTAATTAATGAGATTTTTCACCTCATTTTACTTTAGCTGTTCTACTGAAAGTTCTATAACTACATTTCAATGAAAATTACAAAATCTGAAAAGTTACATCTTCACCTAACAAACCATTGTTTTCTGTCATCTCAACTTATTTTCATCTTTGTATAAATACATAATTAAAAGTGATTGTGTGATGCCATTCAGTTTATTCCTTTTAAAAATGTAGTTGCTGTATGTCTTGAAAGATATCATGAAAAAATTTGAGTACACAGTAGAAAATGAAAAAACATTTGAAGACAAATTTAAAAGACACATAGAAAATGAAAAGATATCATTTTTAATTTTATTAACTTTAGCAAGTTAGCAATATAATATGCTGCTATACATAGATCACTCATGATTTCCATCTTCTTCTTCTGTATTGGCCCTCCTTCTTTTCCTCTCAAATTAGAGTTCTTTGATATTGACAAAAAAATCCTTTCATACAGCATATTCTTTCCTATACCAAGTGAGCTGGCTATTGAGAGGTAGAAAAAAGATCAAGAGAATGATTGGGGGAAGTAGCCACAAGATGGCCGATTAGAAGCAGCTGTGGTCCACAGCACTAATGAAGAGGAACGAAAGGAGCAAGTACTCCCAGTACTCACATTAGGATTGATCAGGGAAACAACTTGACCCAAAGAGAAAAAAGAAATGCAGGGTGGGACGATGGCCCACCCAGGAGCGACACAGGGCCCGGGGAACCCCCATCCTCAGCCAAGAGATGCAGTGAGTGATTGTGTGACCCCAGGAAACCAAGCTTCTTCCACAGATCTTTGCAACCTGTGGATCAGGAGATCCCCTTGTGAGCCCACGCCATCAGTGTTTTTGGGGTCTTGGCAGAGCAGCTACTCAGGCACACAGAGAGACCCAGAAGCTTTACATACTCCAGCCCCCAGAATCCCGAACAAATGTGTCTGCAACTCAGGCAAGGCAGGAGGTCTGTACATACCCCCAGGATGGGGGCTGAATCCAGGGAGCCAGACAGCATCATCCTGCAGGCCCCAATTCCATGGCATCTCACAAGATAAGACCTGCTGGCTTGGAATTCCAGCCAGCCACCAGCAATAGGGTGGAGGAGCCAGCCTGAGATGAGACAGAGTCCACTAGTGGAGGGTCAGGTCACCATCTCTGCCATTTGGTTGACTCAGCCATTTTAGTCTGAGAGCTTTGGAAACTCTAAAAGGTCTCAACAAGGAAGTCCCACCACCACCCAGCACAGCACAGCTGCTTTGCCAATTCATGGCCAGACTGCTTCTTTAAGTAGGACCCAGATCCATCCCTCCTCACTGGGTCTGACCTCCCAGGTGGGGCCTCCAGCCACCCCTGCCTGTTTTCTATGGACAGAGATCTGATCTCTCCCTTGGAAGGAGACCCTAGAGGGATGGGGGGGTTTCAGCAGAAACCCTAAAAGCCAGAAGTGATTGGGGGCCAATATTCAAAATTCTTAAAGAAAAGAATTTCCAAGCCAGAATTTTATATCAAGCCAAACTAAGCTTCATAAACAAAGAAGAAATAAGATCCTTTTCAGACAAGCAAATGCTGAGGGAATTCATTACCACCAGACCTGCCTTACAAGAGCCCTGAAGACAGCACTCAACAAGGAAAGGAAAAACCATTACTAGCCACTATAAAGCCACATTGAAGTTACACAGACCAGTGACACTGTGAAACAACCGCATACTCAAGTCTGCAAAATAACTAGCTAGCATCATGATGACAAGATTAAATCCACATATAGCAATGCTAATCTTAAACGTAAATGGGCTAAATGTCCCAATTAAAAGACACAGAATGACAGGCTGGATAAAGAAGCAAGACCCATCAGTATGCTGTTTTCAAAAGTCCCATCTCACAGGCAAAGACACTCACAGGCTCAAAATAAAAGGATGGAGGACAATCTAGCAAACAAATGAAAAACAGAAAAAAAGCATGGGTTGGAATCCTAGTTTCTGACAAAACAGACTTTAAACCAGCAAACATTAAAAAAGACAAAGAAGGGCATTACATAATGGTAAAGGGTTCAATTCAACAAGGAGAGCTAATTATCCCAAATATATAGGCACATAATAAAAGAGTACCTATATTTATAAAGCAAGTTTTTAGAGATCTACAAAGAGACTTAGACTCCCACACAATAATAGTGGGAGACTTTAACATTCCACTGACAATATTAGACAGATCATTGAGATAGAAAATTAATAAAGATATTCAGGACCTGAACTCAGCTCTGGATCAAGAGAACCTGATGGATATCTACACAACTCTCCAAACAAAAATAACAGAATATACATTTTTCTCATCACCACATGGCACTCACTGTAAAATTGATCACATAATAAGAAGTAAAACACTCCTCAGAAACATGCGAAAGAAGTGAAATCATAAACAGTCTCTCAGATCAGAATGCAATCAAATTAGAACTCACCCAAAACCATTCCACTACAGGGAAATTGCACAACCTGCTTCTGAATGACTTTTGGGTAAACAATGAAATTAAGGCAGAAATCAAGAAGTTCTTTGAAACTAATGAGAACAAAGATACAATGTACTAGAATCCCCATAACACAGCTGAAGCAGTGCTAAGAGGAAAATTTATAGCACTGAATGCCCACATCAAAATGCCAGAACAATTTCAAGTTGAAAGCCTAACATCACAACTAAAAGAACTAGAAAAAAAAAGAAAAAAAAAAAAAAAAAAGCTAGCACAAGACAAGAAATACCTAAGATCAGAGCTGAACTGAAGAGGATAGAGATAGGAAAAAGGCCTTCAAAAATTCAAACGGTAAAGGAGCTGATTTTTGAAAAAAATAAAATAAAATAGTTAGACTGCTAGTTAGACTAATAAAGAAGAAAAGAGAGAAGACTCAAATAAACACAGTCAGAAAGAAAGGGCATATCACCCCACAGAAATACAAACAACCATCAGAGAATACTACAAACACCTCTATAAACTATACAATCTAAAATAAATGGATAAATTGCTGGACACATATACCCTACCAAGATTGAACCAGAAAGAAATTGAATCCCTGAATAGACCAATAATGAGTTCTGAAATTGAGGCACTAATAGCTTACCAACCAAAAGAAAAAAATAAGTCCTAGAGGAGGTACAAAGAAGAGCTGGTATCATTCATACCATAACTATTCCAAAAAGTTGAAAAGAAGGGACTCCTCCCTAACTCATTTTATGAGGCCTGCATCACTCTGATACAAAAACCTCCAGAGATACAACAAAAAAACAAACTTCAGGACAATATCCTTGATAAACATTGATGCAAAAATCCTTGACAAAATACTGGCAAACTGAATCCAGCAACACATCAAAAATCATATCCACCACAATCAAGTAGGCTTTATCCCCAGGATGCAAGGTCAGTTCAATATTTGCAAACCAATCAATGTGATTCATCATATATGCAAACCAATCAATGTGATTCATCACAAAAACAGAACTAAAGACAAAAACCATATGATTATCTCAATAGATGCAGAAAAGGCCTTCATTAAAATTCAACATCTCTTCATTTTAAAAACTCTGAATAAACTAGGTATTAAAGGAACATATATCAAAATAATAACAGTCATATATGACAAACCCACAGCCAATATCATACTGGCAGCATTTCCCTGAAAACTGGCAAAAGATGAGGATGCCCTCTCTCACAACTCCTATTCACCACAGTATTGGAAGCTCTAGCCAGGGAATTCAGGCAAGAGAAAGAAATAAAGTGTATTCAAATAGGAAGAGAGGTAGTCAAACTATCTTTGTTTGCAGATGACATGATTTTATATCTAGAAAACACCGTCATTTCAGCCCCAAAACTTCTTAAGCTGATAATCAACTTCAGTAAAATATCAGGATTCAAAATCAGTGTGCAAACATTGTTAGCATTCCTGTACACCAACAAGAGTCAAGTTGAGAGTCAAATCACAAATGAACTCCCAATCACAATCATCACAAACAGAATAAAACACATAGGAATACAGCTAACAAAGGATGTGAAATATCTCTACAAGGTAACTACAAAGCTCTGCTCAGAGGAGTCAGGGATGACAAAAGTAAACACAAAAAAGTTCACGTTCATGAATAGGAAGAATCAATATTGTGAAAATGGCCATACTGCCTGAAGTAATTTATAGATTCAGTGCTGTTCCTGTTAAACTACCATTGACATTCCTCATAGAATTAGAAAAAACTGTTTTATAATACCTATGAAAACAAAAAAAGAGCCCAAATAGCCAAGGCTATTCTAAGCAAAAAGAACGAAGCTGAAGGCATCATGCTATCTGAATTCAAACTATACTACAGGGCTACAGTAATCAAAACAGCATGATACTGGTACAAGAACAGACACACAGATCAATGGAACAGAATAGAGAACGCAGAAATAAGACTACACACTGACAACCATCTGATCTTTGACAAATCTGACAAAAACAAGCAATGGGGAAAAGATTCCCTGTTTAATAAATGGTACAGAAAGAACTGCCTAGCTATATGCAGAAAATTGAAACAGGACCCATTCCTTACAACTTATACAGAAATTAACTCAATATGGTTTAAAGACTTCAATGTAAAACCCAAAACTATAAAAACCCTATAAGAAAACAAAGGCAATTCTATTCAGGATATAGGCACAGGCAAAGATTTCATGACGAAGATGCCAAAAGCAATTGGAACAAAAGCAAAAATTGACAAATGGGATTTAATTAAACAAAAGAGTTTCTGCACAGCAAAAGAAACTATCAACAGAGGAAACAGACAATGTAAAGAGCGGAAGAAAATTTTTGCACTCTATCCACCTGATAAAGGTCTAATATCCAGCATCTACATGAAGCTTAAACAATTTACAAGAAAAAAACCACCAAACAACCACATTAAAAAGTGGGCAAAGGACATGAACAGACACTTCTCAAAAGAGGACATACATGTGGCCAGCAAATACATGAAGAAAAGCTCAACATCACTGATTATTAGTGAAATGCAAATCAAAACCATAATCAGATACCATCTAACACCAGTTAGAATGGCTATTACTAAAAAGTCAAAAAAAATAATAGCAGATGATGGTGAGGTTGCCGAGAAAAGGGAATACTTATGCACTATTGGTGGGAGTGTAAATTAGCTCAACCATTGTAGAAGACAGTGTGGCCATTCCTCAAAGACCTAGAGGCAGAAATACGATTCGACCCAGCAATCCCAATTACTGGATATATAACCAAAGGAATATAAATCTTTTTATTATAAAGATACATGCATGTGTATATTTATTGCAGCACTCTTCACAATTGCAAAGAGATGGAATCAACCTAAATGCCCATCAAATGATAGACTGGATAAAGGAAATGTGGTACATATACATACTATGCAGCCATAAAAAGGAACAAAATCATGTCCTTTGCAAGGTCATGGAAGCCATTATTATCAGCAAATTAATGCAGGAAAAGAAAACCAAATGCTGCATGCTCTCTCTTATAAGTGGGAGCTGAATTATGAGAACACATGCACACATGATGGGGGTGGAGAACACACACTGGGGCATTTTTTAAGGTGAAGGGTAGAACACTTTTTAGAAGGGAGAGCATAAGAAAGAATAGCTAATGGATGCTGGGCTTAATACCTGGGTGATGAGATGATCCGTGCAGCAAACCATCATGACACACATTTATCTATGTAACAACACTGCACATTCTGCACATGTACTCCTGAACCTAAAATAAAAGTTGGAAATTAAAAAAAGAGAGAGAATGATTCAGAGATAAAAAGCAGAAATGAAAATCACTTTTCAATTCAACCTGAGAGAATACTTTAGTACAGTATTAAGAATACCTTAATACATTTAAACATTTATTGCACAATTAATGCAGTAGATAGTTCTTGGAGTACCACACTGAACTTTTCCCTATTCTGAAGAGTGTTCATCTCTTGTCAATCTATTTATTCTTCTCTGACAGATAGTAGCTTTACAATGCCAGCAGAATTAGCTGAATAGCAGAAACAATAAATGAATAATCAGACAATTTTCTTCCATTCTTTTACTACTAAAGTCATTTGAAATGTATGATCCTATTCTGTTTTCTGTTATTACAAATTTCTACTTAAATGTGTGTCATTTGACTTTAGTAGTAAAAGAATGGAAGAAAATGATGCTTCAATTTTTCTGGTGGTGCACATGTTCTCTTTCTTATAAGGCTTTATTATGTTTCCTACCCATAAATTCAAAATATACATCGGCATACCTACAATACTTTACTTAAGTTCACAATCTCTTCTGCCATTTTCTTTTTCCATCATAGGCTTTAGGCCTGCTTTCTTCCTTTATTGTTAATTGATGAAACGCCATGGCTTACCCTTGAGAATAATAGCAAAAAATAGTGTCAGAAGGAGAATATCTTGCCTTTTCCCTTACAGTTACATGAATTGCAAGCAAACACAATTCAAATTCATAAAATTAGAGCTAATAAAATGTTAAATAGGGAACATTGCCAAAATACAAATCTTGGAGTCTTATCAAATATGCAAGCTTGTATAAAAAATGTATGATACTGTTCTGTTTTCTGCTATTGCAAAGTTCTACTTAAAAGTATTATTTAAACTAAGAAATTATTTAAGATGCCTAAATTTCAGACATTGAGATATGCTCTGTTGTTAAACAACTCATAACTTTGAATTATTCAAAATTCTGTAATTACACTTGTTGCTTAATGTAATAGATTTCATTGACTACTTTGCATTCCTGTGAAGCATGGGTACCTGTAGAATTTCTTGGCCAGAGAAGAAAAGGAGATTTGACCCCCTTCTTCCTCCATAAAGGCACAATAAAATTATAAACCAAATTGCTTCTTTATCCAAATAAAGAGCTTGAGAGCTTTGTCTCATTTAAGTAATTTGGTCTAAATTCACATGATCATAGGATAATAGGTAAGAAAATAGTTTCTTTTTTATTATTATGGCAAGAAAAATTCTATATTAATACATATCCAGTTGCATAAAAATGACTGTTAAAAATTAGCAAATTTACTTTTTAAAAAATGTTTTGAGAACTCTAAGTTCTGTTGTATCCATAGCTATGCCCACATGTATTATACTCTTAAGTAATTAATACACTGCACCTGAAAGTCACATCTTTCTTTTGAAATGAACAAAATATCAACATGTTATTTGTTAGGTATTTGAATATCTAGTTATAATATTTAAACTTCTGGAATAATAACCAGGTTAACATTTTCATTTGGGGGTATTGAAAGAAGTGATACAAGATACAAACTCAAGATACAAATTTCAAATAAGATTGTCAAATGCTGGAAAATGTGTTACATAATTTATGGATATAATTGTCTTTTATATTTTTAATTATTATAGTAATTTTGTGAGTAACTTCACAGAGAAGACATTTAAAATACAGGAATTAATAACTTTTTCCTCATCGCACCATTAAACCCTACTAGTAAATTCAGATTGAGGGTGCATTGTATCATATACAATTTCTTTCCTTCTTCTGCTGAGTAAAATTATTAACCACATTTTTCTATTATTTTCTCCAGTAATAGTGATTGCCTTTTCTAACTCCTAGGTTCCAGGCAATAATTTGAGTTTAATAATTCTGTTCAATCCCTCAGCAAGAAAGAGGCTTACAAAATTACTAGTATCATAGTGTTAACTTTCTGGGGATCCTGTCTATCCTGTCAATCAATATCAGCCTTTAGTCACCAAACCCAAGGGCCGAGGTAATATTTTTTTTTTATCAGGCAAGTTCAAAATTGTGGGAGGTAAGGTAACCCAGTCTTTCTTCTCATTTCCTACTTCTGCATTAGCTCTGACTTTCGCATTTTCACTTTCTATCTATCCACATCTGTTCTTACTGTGCTTTCCTTTTTTTTTTTTTCATTCTAAATTTTTTTCCATAATACTGCACCATTCAGTCAACAGTTTCATTTGTGTTTGAGGAGCTGCTTTACAAGGCATGGAAACTGCCTTACAATCATCTTTATTTTTTATTTTTTGAGATGGAGTCTCATTCGGTCACCCAGACTGGAGTGCAGTGGCGTGACCTCGGCTCACTGCAACCTCTGCCTCCCAGTGATTTCTCTTGCCTCAGCTTCCGAAGTAGCTGGGATTACAGGTGTGCACCATGCTTGGCTAATATTTTTTGCATTTTTAGTAGAGACAAGGTTTCACCATGCTGACCAGGCTGTTCTCAATCTCCTGGCCTCATGTGATCCATCTGCCTCGGCCTCCCAAAGTGCTGAGATGACAGGTGTGAACCACTGTGTCCAACCTACAATCAATCATACTACCTCCTGTGTTGCTGGTGGTCTCTTATGAGCATAAAGGTTGTCTTAGAGTTGGTCCACTCTGACATTTGTAAAAATCTCCTGAAATGGTATAGGTTTTAGAGTAAGTCAGTTATTGACTCCAATCAAAGCCCACTTATATCTATGTGCTCCTGAGTAACTCAGTCAACTCTCTGGACCCCATTTGCTACATCTGTAAGATAAGTATAACTGTATTCTATAAATCATTTTATAATGTGAGCTATATAACTATGTGAACCATATTTTGATATGTGAACATATTGAAATAAAGAATTGGGGCTGGACGCGGTGGCTCACTCTTGTAATCCCAGCAATTTGGGAGGCTGAGGCGGGCGGATCATTAAGTCAGGAGATCGAGACCATCCTGGCTAACACGGTGAAACCCCGTCTCTACTAAAAACACAAAAAACTAGCCGGGCATGGTGGCGGGTGCCTGTAGTCCCAGCTACTCGGGAGGCTGAGGCAGGAGAATGGTGTGAACCCGGGAGGCGGAGCTTGCAGTGAGGCAAGATGGCGCCACTGCACTCCAGCCTGGGCGACAGGGCGAGACTCCGTCTAAAAAAAAAAAGAAAAAAAGAAAAAGAAAAGAAAAAAAAGAAATAAAGAATTGGTATAAAATATTTGTATATATTAAATGCTCAACATATGACATTTTACTTGATTTAGCTTTATGTATTTTCTTACATTTTTAAGTTGTACAAATACCTTTATATTCTTCTTTTCAGAGATTCTTTATGATCTGTCCAAGGAGTCAACAGAAATAGCAACTTTAGGACATCTGGTGTGTGTGTGTGTGTATAAATTAGGAAAACTAAAATATATGACTCCAAAGATAATACAACTTGTGACTGAAAATGTCTCAGGGTAAATATAAAACCAAAAAATCTTAGACATATATACGCATGATACACTTGCCTCAGGAATATTTTCTGTTGTGCTTTGTCATATGTCATTTCTTCACCACCTTACAAAACAGAATAAGAAAAACAAATCTGAAGGAGCAGAGTTTTGCTTGAATGCTAAGGTAGTATTAGGAGTTATTTCAGTGTTAGTAAACAAGATCCTAGGTTTTTCAAATGTCACTAAATTCTTTTGTTTTCCACAAAGAAATAAAACATCTAATACTCAGTATTCCTCTACTGTCTTATAACTACTTTAAAAGTCAAAAGAAAACATTGAGCTTATTAAGTATTCTGAAATATATTTTATAAAAATAATAATATTTGAGCCCTCATAGTTGAAAATGATAATAAAACAATTTCATTTCATTATTTTACAATCTGTAGCTTATTGATAATAAATAAACGTGAGCACACTTATAACATTATTATTGGCAATTTATGCTGTTAACTTTTTGGTAATTTATTTGAATGTGTGTAACCATTTTTCTATTTAATTGTCTTTTTCTTATTGATTTATGGACATTCTTTATAATTTTGCATAGCAATCTTTTATCAATTATTTGTTTTGAGGGATCTTATCCTTGTAAGTAATTTGAATTTATACTTTCTTTAATGTGCCTTTTGACAAAGAGAAAAATATTAATGTGAACATAATTAAATATATATTCTTTAAAATTTTGTGTTTTTACCTTATTATAATCTTCTCTCCCCTAAAGATACTTTGACATTCTCCTAGAAATCATTTTATAATTATATTATTTATCCATTTGGGATTGATCTGTGTAATGGACATGAATAAATCCTATGGGGCAAGTCTCCCTTCTGAAATCTTATTCTTTACGTTGTCATGATTCTCCCTGGTTATTTGTTCTTCCATATATACTGGAATTATTGAAATTATGCTTAATATACAAATCAATTTGGTGATATCAATATTATTACTGTATCTCTCTTAACAACTATTAACATGGCATGTTTCTCCACAAATCTGCATCTTCCTCCATGTGTTTTATTAATGTGTGTGTGTGTGTCTTTGTGTGTGTGTGTGTGTGTCTGTGTGTGTTGGCTAAACTCTTGCTTATATGTTATTAGGTTTATTTCTTGGTAGCCTATATTTGGATTGTTATGACAATTTGAATGAAAACATTAACTCTTTAATTTATAAAATGAATATTGTAGACTTATCCTGAAAATAAGATATAGCATATTCTTCTCTTCATATACTTTATATAATTTAATTGAAGAAAATAATCTGAAAAATTCCATTTCTTTGTTTATATAATTGTTTGGCTTTGGGTCCCCACCCAAATCTTACCTTGATTTGTAATCCCCATAATCTCCATGTGTCAAGGGCGGGAACAGGTGGAGGTAATTGGATGATGGTGGCGGTTCCCCCATGCTGTTCTCATGATAGTGAGTGAGTTCTCAGGAGATCTGATGGTTTTATAAGCATCCAGCGTATCCCTTGCTTGCACTTATTCCATCCTGCTGCACTGTGAGTAAGGTGCCTGCTTCTGTTTTGCCTTCTGCCATTATTGTAAGTTTCTGAGGCCTCCCCAGCAACGCAGAACTGTGAGTCATGTAAACCTCTTTCCTTTCTAAGTTACCCAGTCTCTGATGTTTCTTCACAGCAGTGTGAGAACAGACTAATATAACAATTTTATTGTTAATTCGTTTGAATTTTTCATATGCCAAGATTGACAATTTAGGAGCCTACTCCCAAGGAATTACAGTACATTGTCAAAAAAATGGAACTTTTTCCAATAAATAGCAAATGTTCTCTTTATATGAGAAATGGTTCTGAGTGTAGCATTCATCAGAAATTGGGACAGGCTTGGGAAGTGGACAAAGATTAGGTGTGTTTATGATATTTTTGTTCAGCTTTACTGACTCCAATTTCAAAGGAAACTTTTGAAAAGTTATTCTTTGTTTTAGAAGAAACTTCGAAGTGATATCATCTTTTCCATTGGGGAAAGGAGGTCAGAGAGAAATCCTTTGTTTTCTTGACATCTTTCCAAATTAAATCTTCAATGCCACCTCCAGCTGAATGATATTCACGATGAAAATTAGTGTTTCCCTCAAAGAAGACTTCTAATAAAAGATGAGGTTTTTTTCACCTAATTTTCCCTTTTCCTGCTTTAATTAAAATATAATTTATTAAACACAGCCATTGTAATTGAGGAAGTTTTGAGAAAAAGAGAAATAATAGCAACATTTGCCACTGACATTTTTAATGTTAAGTGTCATATTTCACAAGAAATTCTAGTGCTATTTTTAACTGTAGAATCTTAATTTAATTAATTTAATTTAGTGCTCCTTCTAAATATCGTAACAGCAGCAACTAACATATTTTCATTATTCAACATTTATTGATAGAAAATTTCCCATATGTATTTATATTATGACTATTTTATTAGTTCATGAAAATCCATATCTAATCCTGACAACCCCACTCTTGGAATTTAAATGGGGTTTGCTAGACAATAGTGTGAAAATGTTCTGACACCCTTGAAACTCACTGTGTCCTGTATTTGGCTACCAATGAAGGATGACTTTACTCAGACATCGAGTCCTCTACTTAGTATGTGACTTCCAGGAGTAGTTTATGTTTTCTAGACCCTTAAAGTTGAAAAATAAATTCCTGAGGAGATTGCAGGTCAAAGATAAACAAGGGTAAAAATACAGCTTGCCAAATGATAATAGCACTTATCTTAGACTAACAGCTACCCTGTGTCAAGCCCTATGCAGTGTGTTTTATAAGAATTATTTCACTTTATCTTCAAAGTTGTCTTAAAAGATTAGCATTCTTATCATTAGTTATTTTAAGGATGAAAAGACTGAAGCCCAGAATTCCAAATTAATAAGGCTAAATGAGAGAGAAGTCTATTTACTACACAGATCTTACCGGCTATCAGAGCCTGTCCTTTGAAGACAATGCTATTGGGTACTTCGTGTGTTTGTCTCCTCTTTCCATCCTGGGCATACTCTCAGCCTAAGCATCTCTTTATATGGGGCGATTAATTTGGAGGCATAGCAATAGAAAATGTAAATTCAAGAATGTTAGCATTCCCAAGAAACTGGGTCATTTGATCGTAATTTGAGTGATAATGGGCTTTACCACCTAGAATTCAACAAAATTTCAAAATACATAAAGTATAAACTGATAGAACTGGAAGGAGAAATTGATAAATCCATAATTATAGTTGGCAATTTAAATACTCCTGTGTCAATAATTGATAAGTAGATAGAGAGTCAATAAAGATACATGAGAGAACAGCCAAACAATATCATAAACCAAATTGACATAATTGGCATTTAGGAGACCAAATTGACATAACTGGCATTTAGCACTTTATTTAAAACTGAAAATATGCCTTATTTTCAGGGGCTCATGAATTAGTCACCAAAATAGACTATATTCTTAACCAGAAAATAAATCTTTATAAACTTAAAAAAATTTGTTATTCAAAGTATATTTTTTGATCACAATGAAATTAAATAAAATTGAGAGAGAGAGAACTAGCTAAAGTACTTCTAAAAACTGAACGGTGAGGGAGTCAAAGGAAGAATAAAAAATAAATTACAAATAATTTTTAAATAAAAATAAAAATGCAGCATACTGAAATTTATGCATGCCACTAAATCAGTAATTTATAGTGTGAAAGATCTGCATTAGAAAAGAAATAAGATCTGAAATCAATTATCTCAACTTCTACCTTTAGAAACTAGAAATAAGTGAAACAGGAAAAATTTCTGGAAACATGTAAAGGACTAATACACTGAAAACTACAAAACGTTGAAAAAATTATGTCTTAGATAAGCAAAGAGATACTATGTGCATGAATTAGAAATCTTAATAGTTTTAAAATGTCAATTCTTCTTAAATTGACCTATAGATTTAATGCAATCTTAATAAAATTCCCAGGGGTTTTTGTCTTCTTTTTAATAGAAATGACAGACCACTTTCAAAATTCATATGGAAATTCAAAAAGCCATTTATAAAGCTTATATAAAGAGTCATAACAACTTTGAAAAATAAAGTTACAGGAATAATGCTACCTAGGTTCAAGGCTTATTATAAAACTACATTAATCATAGAGTGTGGCACTTGTGTAAAGACAGACAGATAAATGAAACAACTAAGAGTCTAGAAACAGACATATAAATATATGAACAACTGAGTTTTTATAAAGCAATTCAGTGCACACAGGATAATCTTTTGAATGAATAGTGCTATAGTTATTGAATATTCATGTAAAAAATGAACTCTCTTAATACCTCATACCATATACAGAAATTAACTCAAATTGGATCAACATGAGTAATAGACCTAAATGTAAAACAAAATACTATATATCTTCAGGGAGAAAATACAGGAAAAATATCTTTATGGCATGAAATTAGGCAAAGATTTTATTGATATGTCAATGAAAACACAAACCATAACAAAAAAATTAATGAGTTGGACTTCATTACAATTAAAAATAACACTTTGAAAGTCATTGAAAGAGAATGAAAAGACAAGCCACAGACTGGGAGAAAATATTTGCACATCACATATCTCACAAAGGGCCTGTATACCAAATGCATAAACAATTCTAAAAACTCAAATGTTTACTGAAACTTACTAAAAATCAAACAATCCAATTTTTTAAAATAATCAAAATATTTGAGCAGATACTTCCCCAAAGTAGCTGGATGACCAACTAATCTATGAAAAGATGCTGAACATCATTATTCACTAGGAAAATGCAAATTATAACACCACATAGCAACTTTACTTGCCAAGTACATCAATGTGTGAATAGATACATAAATTGTGTTGTTTCCATGCAATAGAATACTTCACACCAGTAGATATAAATTAACTACTTATTCATGCTACAACACAATAAATCTCAAAATAATTATGCTGAGTGAAAGAAGCAAGACAAAAAAAGATACAGACTCTATGATTTCTTTGATATAAAATGCTAAATCAAACAAACTAATCCACAGTGACAAAGCAGATCGTTGGTTGCCTGGGGCTGGAGTGTAGAGACAGGAGGAAAGGAATCCATTGCAAACGGCATGAGAAAACTTCTGAGGATAAAGGATGTGCTCATTATAATGACTGGTGATGGTTAAACAAGTGTATACATATGTCCAAACTTTTCAAACTGTACATTTTAATTATGTGTTTTAAATACCATATTCTCATGGAATAAACAAACCAATCTGAACAGAAATTGACCTCTGTCCAGGAGAGAGAGGAAGGAAAACCACTTACCTCTTTAGGAAGGTGACTTGTGTGCTTTCAATTTGACAGCACTTGTGGATGTCCTTGAACCAAGAGTAAAATCAAGTAACAGTTCATTGTTCATCAAAGCCAACTGCTCTATAAATAAGTGTTATCAGAGTTACACTCACTTTTTGGTCGAAACTTCTCACAGAATGGAATATTGTAAGAGCTTTTTTGCGAATACTGAAAGGACAGTGGTAGGAGTAGTGAAAAAAAATTCAACAGGACATAATAACTGTAATTGAATAAAATATATGAATAGCAGCTAATTCTTGGTAAAAGGAAACATCAATCTTTTAAAAAGTACAGTATAAAAGACACAATTGAAATGAATAACTTGTACCCAATTCTTGCTTGGCTGGATTTGGATTCTGTAACAATAACTCCCAGTCTGCCCTAAAGTACAAACATCATTGCCTTATTCTCCACTAGCTTGGAGAGAGAAAAGTTACACGAAAACTGCATTTTGTATCCAAAGAGCGGTCTAAAAGCTTTTTAATGCAATGTCACACAATTTTCTTGGTATCTTTAAATTTAACTGATGCCATTGAAAGCCATCATCTGACCATAAATGGCCAGTATCGCTTCACAGCTGGCTTTCTTCTTAAGCATGAAGCAGCTTTGTCTAGATGTGTGCTCCAGCAATGCTTTTTTCACTTTACTTTCATTTGCTTTATCAAGGAAAAAACAGACTTTCTTTTCTGCCCATGCTAGAGAACAGTCTTTTCAACTGGAAAGAATAAGACTGTCTTAACATAATCCATTATTATCTCAGTAAGACACTATTGATGCCAGGAAAAATTAACCTCGAATTACAAGTGGTTAAACAATTTAACTAGTTAAATATAATGTTACTCCAGAATAATATATATTTGTATAAAATAAAGGGAAATTGACTTTGCTGAAAATTATATAGAATAACTTTTGTCATTTCTCAAAATAATTAGCATGGCAGTATCCAGAGTTGGTTAAAAAAAGATTATTTTTTATTTAATGATTCTCTGATAGTAGTTATCATTCAGCAAATACAAAATTATTCATTATTTTACTAAATCAGTGTTGTTTTGGAATTTCTTCAATAGTTGTTAAGCAGTATAAAATTATTTGATGGAGGGGAAAGAAAAAAGCAGACAAAATCTTCCACAATTCTTACTATAGAATAAGCCATTGAACAACTTCTGTTGTATCTTGCATATATGTTAATTATTTTTCTAATACTTAGTTTTGAAATTTTAAAAACTGTGCTAAATGAAAAACATAAACACATAAAACATGTTTTATGAAAAACAAGTATAATTTTATACACTTTACTTTTATATTTTTATGTTATGAATTATTTTGTTTAGAATATTCAAAAGTATATAGTCTAAACAAAATAATTCACAAAGTATAGTTTTGAATATTCTAAACAAAATAATTCACGACATAAAAATTATATCAGGAATTGAATAAGATGATTATATGATTTAAAATTTTTTTCCTACTACTTGCCTAGTAACATATGGATAAATTCTTTTAAAATATTTATACAAATATTTTAGTACTCATCCTAGAAAATTTCCCTATTGTACAAATTGCAAAACTGTATCTATCACAACACATGTATCTAAATTAGCCATCTTTTGGCCTATCTGCCTTTTGTCAATATGCTTTTGACCCTTGCATCTATGTCTCTGTCTCCAACCTCTCCTTTGAACTAAATATTTATAAATTAACTTCCTCCTGAATACTTCTAACTGGTGTATTGGTTTCTTACTGCTGCCATAACAAATTACTGAAATTTTACTGGCTTAAAACCACATAAATTTATTTTATTACAGTTCTATAGTTTTGAAGTCCAACATAGGTGTCCCTGGGGAGAAAACCAAGGAGTTAGCACAGCTGAGTTCCTTCCTAGAGGCGCTGTGGAAAATCTGTTTCCTTGCCTTTTCTAGCTTCTAGAAGCCCACTGCATTTCTTGGCTTCGTGGCCTCTTCCTCCATGTTCAAAGCTAGTGTCTTAGTGCTGAATCCTTCTCACTCTGCCATCCCTCTGATTTTCTCTCCTGCGTCTTCCACTTTTAGAGAACCTTGTGATTACATTGGGCCTACTAGATGACACAGGATTATTCCCCTTGCATTAAGGTCAGCTGGAGAGCAGCCTTAATTCTGGTAGCATATTCATAAATTCCAGAGATTAGAATGTGGACATCTTTGGAGGAATTATTATTTTGTCACCACAATAGTCCATCTTGATATACACAAAATACTCTTCACTTTGTATTACAGGTCAGTTTCTCCCCATCCTTCTCCATCTAAGTAATTACTACCTTCAAGCCAATTATATGAATAGTCTTTGATTTCTCTCAGTACCTTTCTTCCTTATTGAACCCAGCAAGCTCTGTGGATCTAACACCAAAAAAAAAAAAAAAAAAAAAAAAAAGGAAGAAAAGAAAAAAATGGAATACTTTTACTTCCACTGTGACCACACAGTCTATGTATGCCTGGTCGTCTTTACCTGGAAGATTACTTTAGCCTCCAAACCAGTCTGCCATTCTCAACATGGTGTCTAGGGTAACATTTTAACCATAATTACATTTATGTTACTCACCTGCTAAAAATCTTCCACAGGTTCCATTGTGCTTAGGAAAAACATTCAAACTCCGTATTTTGGTTCCTGTAGTCCCCCAAATGTGGTCTTCCCTCTTGATGTTTTCCAAACACAATTTTGCCTTTTTTCTGCTCCTTATTTATCTTAAACACTTCAATACAATTCTGACTTTATTCAGACTTTGAGCACAGACTTCTCAGGTTGAGGGTTGGGTCCCTCACAAGATCCTCCTCACTTCAGGCACCAGCCGGAAACTCCAGGGTTTTGTGGCCATCTGTGCTTCTGACTAAATGACTACAAATTCTGTGGTTTCCACTGCCCCATCAGTGTGGTCATTTGCTAGAATGACTCACAGAACTTGGGAAAGCACAATACTTAAGTTTACAATTTTATTATAAAGGATACAAATCAGAACAGTGAAATTGAGATTGTTGTTCAGAGTTTTTATTGCAGTTTCATTATGTAAGCATGATACATAGAATCATTGACCAGTGATTGAACTTTAGTTCCCTTCTCCTCCTGGGCATTGGTCTGATATCACCTGGACCAAACCCCAGGTGATATTACATGGCTGGTTTTTCTGGAATGGCAAGCCTCCACCTGACTCATTTTATGAACATAAACTCTGGGACCCACAGCAAATAACAAAGACCTTCCTATCACAAGAAAGTAAATTCTAAAGATTTTAGAGGCTTACTCATAATAATAGAGGACAAAGACCAGTCAAATGGTTGATTATAGACCAAAGTTAATCTCCTCTGAGATGTTATGATCTTACAGCTGCACTGCATGGAATACCATACTCCCTGTGGTCTAGCTCCTTTGCCTATCACTTCTTCAGAGACAGCTGTCCTTAATAGCCTAGGAAAAGTTGCCCTCAGTTCAGACTGCTATGCTCACTCACACTTTTATGTTTTCCTTAAAGCCTTTTTTACTTTCTCAAATCATATTGTTTGTTTACTTGTTTACTAATTGTCTCCACACTAGAATCCTACGTGAGTGCCTTGAAAAGGACCTGTTACATAGTAGGTACTCAAAAAATATTTGTTGAATAAATAAATATCTACTTGACAGGGATGACATCTTTTTAAAACATTTAGTATTTTAGCTAACAACACTCATTTTCCTTAGACTTGCAAGTGATGACACACTTAATCATCTGTCTACGCTCATTTGTTATTCCAATATCATTTTATGTCTGGCAGGTTTGTATCTTTACTGTTGCCTTCTGAAAACTACAGAGCACATTTCATGTTGTGTTCAACACATCATTCTGCAAATAGCTCTAATTAAGTATGTTTTACTCATTGAAATATCAGTTACTAAAAAATACTACTTCGATTTAAAGTCTTTTTATAAATATTTTTAATACTGACTTAAAAGCAAGTTTTTTTTAAATGTGTGCAATGTGAATCTCTACAAATATAGTTAGTGGTTTTAGCTTTATTTTCCTTAACAAAAATTTACGCCAGTTTTATTTTTATACTTTTTTGTGCTTTCACAGTTTTTTTGTGAAGAGAGCTTCTGTTATTTTTAAAGTTGTGTCAGAGATAACTACCCAAAGGGAAAGCCTTAAACTCTAGAATTAAATATAAAAGATGAGCATAAGCATTCATGGTCTTTGTATGGTGAAGCAGGGTGAGGAATACTAACAATATGATTTGAGTGATAAATATTATTTGCATTTATACTTATAAGATGAAAATAAAATTGGAAAATACTAATTATTGACTTCCACCAGGTCTTTTTAGGCAAAAGGCTGATTCTAAACTCCTTACCATATAGCATTAAAGGTCACAACAATTTGGCCATAACTTCTCTCTCTAGTCACAACTGTCCAAACTACTCTTTGGCAATCATATTATTTCTTTCACTCTAAGGCATTTCCTATTTTGCAAAAAATGTTGGTACTGTTTCATGACTGTGTATCCTTTTGTATCAATTTTCTTCATGGAATATCTCTTTCCATTTATTTGCCTGGAACGCTCCACCTGCTCTCTTTTTAATTGAACTCAATGTTCACTTTTGCTGTAGTTCTAATCTCACTCTCTAAGAAGATTTGATTTTTACCTTTCTCTGTGCTGTCAGTGCATTCTATTTAGAGTTAGTTATAGCACTTATCATAACATATTGTGTTCATCTACAGATTATGAAACATTAGTCTTAGTCTATCAAGAAAGTCCTATTAAACAATAATATGAGTTTCACATTTGAATGAATATGAGAGTATAGTCTCTAATCTCAAATGTTGGAGAGAGAAGTATAGCTATGTTAGAGAAATTAAAATTCAATTCATGATATAATAAAGTTTAGAAGTGGGCTAAAATTAACAAAGATTTTGTGAAAGACAGGACTTGAGGTATGACCTAAATTAAAGCAAATGGAGGGATTTCATATGTATGTAAAACAAGGAAATAAGAGATCACCATGAATATGGTACGTTAAGAAGGCTTAAAAGCCAACCCGACTAATGTTGAAAATATGACAAATGAATCTATAGATAAATAATTGTTGGTATAATTGTTGGTAATATTATAAAAATAATCTAAAATCAAAAATAATTATAACCATGTAATCATTACTTTCTTATTTTTGGATTCACAGACATTGTCCCCAAAACAAATATTCAAGTGTATATTTGGGAAAAAAATACTGTTAGGTCAGTAGGGTAAATGAGACAAAAAAGAAACCAGCCTATAAAAAATGTATTTTTGAGCCAGTATCTGTGTGTGTGTGTGTGTGTGTTCACAAATGTACATATACTTACACTCACACAAACCCTCAAACATCTACCACATAACCTCAGTTCACCATGTGAGAGCTACCCCGTTCCAAATCCATGTGATAATTTCCCTCTGATTATAGGTAAACTCTCTTCCAACCCATCCACAGTAAGTCACACATGTCCACCTGCAATTCTCCCAGTGCCCACTTCTACAAGCAGACTTCAGGTGTTTTTCAAGATAAAGTGCCATATTTACTGTGGTATTTATGTATTTCTTAACAATATGATATGTATAAATGCTATTATTTTCTATCAGATTTTTAATGTGTCCTTAATGAAATTTGGAGTGTATGTCCTCTTAACCACATTTTCCCCATATGCATTTTGTAAATTGTGTTTTTTACAGTGTTGTGACTTTTAGGAATGCATATATCACATTAAAGCAGAAGTGACTACATTTCTAAATATATTATACTTTTTAAAAATATTCAACATTTCTCCATCTGACTCACTTCCAATATTTTACATTTTAGTGAATGGCATCATAAAGCTAAATATCTTATGGTTATAATTGAGATATATATTACTGCATATCATGCCATCTGAGAAACCTAAAGTCTAAAATTCAGCCCCACAGCTCAGTCATTTGTAACTATCTATCATAACATTATTTATTTATATTTTACTGTGGGAAAAACCTACTGATTACTCTGATTAACCCATCGGTCAATTTCGAGATTTGGCCCAATTTTCTAATAATCATCTCTATATATTTTGACTCATAGAGCTATATTATTATCTTTTACACATGAAATATTCATATATGTATAAATTCTCTAGTTTTGTACCACTGTGGATATCTACAATGATACTGTGGAACAAATATAAATAAAGTCAAAAAGTAGATAAAAACAATAATCTTCAATGCATTTTACCTTATTTTATATAGTGTCAAAGGTCAATATAATTGAATATGTTTAGTTCTATCTGAAAATTCTGGTTTTATTTCATATGATACTGTGATCCTAATATCTAATTCTACATTCATTTCACATCATTACTTGGTTTTAATGACTGTCATAGATGAGAAAGATATCAAAATACATTGATTCTAATGGAGTAAGTACCTGATTGGCTTCATTATACTAATTAATGACACTTTCTTTAAGTCATATTTATCAACTATGCAAAATTGTATTGAGAAATTTTTGAAACTAAGCTCAAAAATTACTCTCTTCCCTGATGCAAATCCATTGTTCTTTAAGAACTGTTACTTCTGTTCAAACTGCCCCAGCAAAATACCATAAACTATGTGGCTTGAGTGCAGTGTACACTGCTCAGGTGATGAGTGCACCAAAATCTCACAAATCACCACTAAAGAACTTACTCATGTAAGCAAACACCACCCATTCCCCAATAATCTATGGAAATAGAAAAATTAAAAAATGTAAAATAAATGTATTCTTTATAGTTCCAGAGGCGGGGAAGTCCAAGATCAAGGTATTTGCAGATTTGGTGTCTGGTGAGGGTCCTCTTTCTTAGTCTAGTTTTGTTGCTGTAAGAGACTACCATAAACTGGGTAATTTATAAAGAAAATATATTTATTTCTTACAGTTCTGGAGGCTGGAGAGTCCAAGGTCAGGAGGCTACATCTGCTTGGCATCTGGTGAGGGCCTTCTTACTACATCATAGCATGAGAAGATATTCACATTGTGAGAAGGCAATTACAAAAGGAAGCTGAGGAAGCCTAATTTATTTTATAACAACCCACTCTTGTGAGAACTAACCCAGTCCCTTGAGACTTGGATTAATTCATTCATTAACATTTTGCCCCCACAATCCACACACCTACCACCAGATTCCACATCCCAACACTGCTGCATTGAGTAGCCAGGTCTCCAGGTCTCCAACATGCAAACTCTTGGGCGACACAAACTATGGCATCTGCTTCCTGGTTTAAAGACAGAGCCTTCTCACTGTGTTCTCACATGATAAAAGAACAAAGTAGTTCTCTGGGTTCCCTTTTATAAGGTCACTAGTCCTATTCATAGGGCTTCATTCTCATGATCTAATCACCTCCTAAAGACCTCAACCTCCTAATATCATCATCACCTTAGAGGTTGAGATTTCAACATATGAATAAGGGGGGCAGGGGACAAATATTCAGGCCATAGCAAGAACAAATCAAAATGAGTTACATTTTAATAATTTTAGCAAATGTATGTAATTCCAAAAAAAAAAATTTACACAAAAAAATTCAAAAGAAACTGGAATATTTATCATTTTAATAGTTTTCCATTGTGAGATTTTTGTAAGTAATATATTCATATTATCTTTGATATCAAAATCAGTGTGTGATTGCAGGGAATTGCAAATAATTAAAAGAGATTAATACTGGTTCCTTTAGGTAAAAGATTAAAAACATATGTGTGTAACAATGGCCACCAAATCAGAACACTCATGATTTAAAGGGCAAGCTTCCCTGGCTCCACAACTGACCCCAAAGATACTCATATGCTCCTGACACCACCTGACAGAAGTGAAGTGCCTACCTCGATTTTCATGAAGTTTAACTTCAATGTATTTTGGGTTTGTTTTGGTTATTGCTTATCTTCCCTCCTTTCCTATAATAGAGACTCTGACCTCACATATTGCATTCTCATTGGGTACAAATGACTGGAAACAATACCAAAATATCCCTGCATATTTCTTGCATGTTTACTTAAAACTAAACGTATTAAGACTAATGTGGTACAGCCTTTATGCAGGTGGAGACTCCATGCCTTACTGAAGTGTCTTCCAACTGATGAAAATATTTACAATCTTTTTCTTTTTTCAAAATGCTCTCTCCTTAACACAAAAATTCTCTTGAAAAGTAGTTGCTTTTACCTTAAAGAAAAAAGTATGCATTTTTTAAAAATTATCTGCTTTATGATATATTTCTGACATCTATTTCTTGGATGAAAAAGTTTGTCAGAAATATATCATAAAGCAGGTAATTTTAAAAGAAATAGATCCCAACCTATTCAGGACTTACACCTTTTTGTAAAATGCGAAATTTGTATTTAGGCTTGCGCGAACTTTTGTATACTCTGCAATGATGTCCTTTCAGCACTTTGTGCACTTTTCTTTATTAACTATGTTATGAATAATTCATTGAAAATTAAATCACAGATAGTGCTTTAGTATTCATTATGATCACATTCTCTAACCTCTTAATTTTTTTCAAGCTAAAGTAATCACTTCATCAATAATATCTGTACATAGTTTCCACCCAAGCATTAATTTTTGTTTTAAAGTCTTTGTATTTTTTCTCTGGTACCTCATTCTTCTAATAGATCAAAAAAAATTCTTAAAGTATTTTGTTATTGAAAATGAATTGAGAAAATGCCATAAACAGATATTCTAGGAATATCTGAACATACCGCAACTGCTTAGCAAATCTTTCTTACTGTAATTTATTCTAACACCGTCAAATTCTTTGCATTGTTTTTTATGCACTTTAGCAATTGTTGGCAAAGAAATGCACTTTATTTTGTAATTATATTGCTTTCTGTCTTCAACAAATTTAACATCCTTAGAAGAAGTAGTATTTTCACAATTTTATTTGTCTTTCTTCCCGATTAAGAAATCTTTTAAAAAATATTCACAATTTTAGCATTACATTTGGTGAAATTTTCTTAGCTACTTAATTGAGCATTACATAGACTGAATTTGAAAGAGAATATGTGGATGTTTATCTCTTCATTTTCCATGTTCTGGGAACCTAGTTCCAAATTTCTTAACAATCCTGTTTGACACTACCGTTAACTACTGTTCCAATTTATTGAGTTATTGTCTCTCTTTTTAAATGTCTTCCATTATTAAAATCCCTATTCTATGTTAATGCCAGAGTAATTTTTTTGAAAAGTAAACAATTAAGAAAGTTTCTTCAATGTTTATGCATGACACCATAAACATTGCCCAAATAAAAAAAGTATAAATTACTTTAAAAACATACGAGACCCTTTATAATCTGATCTCAGTATTTATCTCCAGTATGATCTTCATAAGTGTCTTCCTTATGGTTTGTTCCTATATTGCAGTCACTTAAAATATCTACTTGTCTTATTTTCATTTCACTGTGCTTCTGCATAGATTGTTCTTTCTGCCTAAAACTGCTTCCTCACGTTCTCCACCATTCAAAATGAAGCCCTATCTCCAATGTTAACTGACTTCTGACTTTTTTTCTGATTCTTTTGACCATAGCACTTATTATATTATATTACAATTGATCATTTACCAGTTTACATTTCTCTTTTGAGGACAGGCATTTTACATGAAGAAATCACATCTTGCTCATTTATTATGTACCCTAATGCCAAGGCGAATGTTTTTCTGTAATGCAATGCTAGGTATTGCAAAATTATGCAAACCACGACAATAATAATAACAGCAACAACCCTGCTACTTATTTATCTAGAGTATAAAATATAACATGCAAAAAACCACAATTTTTCAGATAAATACAACGCTTTAAATATTCCAATAGAATACATTTCCATTTATTTTCATCTATAACCTTAAGACAGGTCTGTAACTTTTACTCCAAAATAACAATAATCAAGTTGACCTTGAAGAAAGGACTCTTCCTTCTATTGCTTAGATCTGTTGCAGAGGACTTTTTATATATCATCTCCCTTAATTCTTATAATAAATCAACATATATTTTCTTTTCTACAAAATTAATGTAGTCATTAAAGTAATTAGTTGAGCTCATATTTAAATGGCAGAGCAAACATGAAGGTCTCTCTGATTCAGCAACTTGTCGTCTCTAATACTGAATGCTTAACCCCAAGTTTGCAACTTCAGCAAACTTACTTCAAGAAATCAATAAATGCAGTGGCTCACGCCTACAATCCCAGCACTTCAGGAGGCTGAGGCGGGTGGATCACGAGGTCAGAAGTTTGAGACCAGCGTGGATGACATGGTGAAACCCTGTCACTACTAAAAATACAAAAATACAAAAATTAGTCGCGCATGGTGGCACATGTCTGTAATCCCAGCTACTCGGGAGGCCAAGGAAGGAGAATCGCTTGAACTCGGGAAGCAGAAGTTGCAGTGAGCTGACATCATGCCATTGCACTCTAGCCTGGGTGACAGAGCGAGACTCTGTCTCAAAAATAAAAAAATGATAATAATAATTTTTAGAAATTTTCTAATTGTGGCATCATTCTTCTGTTAGAAATTCTATATAAATTTTATAGTTTTTATTTTAAATATTTGACTTTTATATACTTTTCTATTTCCACCTATATTTCAGTTGTTTTGCTGCTTGATAAGTGATACATAATTTAGCAATTGTGTGTTTAGAAAATTATTTTTACATACACATACACATACATCCACACACAAGGGACTTCACAGTGACAAAATCAACTTTAAAATTACAATATTATGTGTGCAACTATGTATTTGTTATTGTTGGTATAAAGGTACTAGAAAAAGAAACAATTGAAGTATATTTCTTCATATTTTCAAAGATTAAATGTCTTAAATATTTCTAAGATTGCCAAATATTAGGTAAAATACAAATATTAGGTAAAATACATATATGTGTGTGTGTGTATATATATGTATATATATACACACACACACACACAATTTGTATATATATACGATTTTTCTTCTCTAAATCTGACTTACCTGTACAATTGGGGAGAAAGATAAATGTGTGCCTAAGGAAAAAAAATAAAATAAAAAATGAAAAGGTGAGAATAAAATGCCTAGAAGTATTAATTTACCTGGATGGAGTAAAAATCCTATTAGCTAGAGGAGTGTTAATTCTTTATTACTATAAAATAGGAAAGTATAGAAAACAAAAAAAATAGAAAAGTATACATAAAAGTCAAACATTTAAAATTAAAAAACTATAAAATTTACATATAGTTCTAACATTCTTTTTTCTACAGTATAGGAAATTGCATATAAGAAGGTAAATTTTGTTTTGTTTTTTTGGAAAGACTCAATATTGTTTCTCCCCTTTCCAATAATGAAATTCAAGCTCACAGCCACCAAAAAAACAGCAAACAAAACAAAACAACGACATCAACAAAAACAGGTGTACAGTTAAAATCTGGTGGTCCAAAGGGAGCTTGGTTACCCATGGAAGCTTTGAATAGAACTTCATGTCAGCAGCGCCAATCTGAGCAATTGGTAGGATACATGCCATCTTGACCAAGGTTTCAGTGTAGCTCAATCTAACTGTCAAGTGATCCTCATTCTACATATTAGACTATATGACTGCAGTTTAAATGATAAAATTCTTGTTTCAAGACCATACTTATTGTCCCCTAAAAGCCCTTGTCTTCCTAAAATGTAGCTGAACACATGGCTTTTCAGACTGTAGTTTTTATTTTCTAGCGTCCTGGCAGGTAGAAATGGTCGTGTGATTAACTTCTGGCCAATAGAGTATAAATTAAAAATATGTGGCCTGGCGCAGTGGCTCATGCCTGTAATCCCAGCACTTTGGGAGGCCGAGGTGGGTGGATTATTTGAGGTCAGGAGTTTGAAACCAGCCTGGCCAACATGGTGAAACTCCTTCTTTACTAAAATTCAAAAATTAGCTGGGTGTGGTGGTGGGCACCTGTAATCCCAGCTACTTGGGGGGTGGGGAACCCAGGAGGTGGAGGTTGCAGTGAGCAGAGATCGCACCATTGCACTCCAGCCTGGGCAATAGAGTGAGACTCTGTCTCTCAAAAAAAAAAAAAAAAAAAATTGTGTGTGCAACTTTCAGAAAAATTGTTAAAGAGAATGATCATGCCCAGCCTCTTTTCTTTCTCTCTTCTAGTTGGTTGGAATGTGGGTATGGTTGCTGGAGGTGAAATAGAAATTCTGAACCAGGAGCACATTTTGGAAATGAGGTCACCACTGCACAACAACAGAGTAAAAGAAGTCTGTGTCCTGAAACCGAGAAACACCATTCCAGTCCTGTAGCTCCTGCCTTATTTTAACAAGAGACAGAAAGAAATTCCTATTTTACCTAAGGCCCTGTTAGTTTGAGCTTTCTCTAACTTTTGGCTGATACTTAGCAATCAGCAAGAAACTTTATGATTTTGTTTTTGCTCCTAGGTCTACCTGAATGAAGGAAAAAGGTATTTTAATATTGCAGATTGAAGTAATTTAGTTTACATGACTATTATGTTTGGTAGTGTAACAACACATTAATAAGAACACATAAAGTATTAAAGTCAACACTTACAATGTTACCTGCCAAAATTAGCAGGAAGATGAGTTCCAAATTAGTCTCATGAGATATATTGGCTGAATAACTTACACATGGATTCACTCTATGTGTCCTGAATCCGTCAAGTTTTCAAGACTGCTAGGCTCAGAGCTAGTCTAGAGTAGAAAATTCAATGAAGAATTTCACTCAGTGAAGCCTCTTGGGTGACAGTCAGCAAACATTTTCATGAATATATTCTTAAGCTATGTGGCTTCTCAATTTGAAACACTATCAATCCCTGGACAATTAAACGTTGCCTGAAACATAAGAATGAAAGCAAGAATAGCAATTAACTTTGAATCCTGAAGAACTGATATTATTCAAGTAAAGGAAGGAAACAGCCATACCTCTAGAAACTTAGGAGAGAATGTCTCAAGATACCATGGCCAATATGATAGAATCCTGGTATAGTTACTATGCACTATACTATTTGCCTAATAGAGTGACATTACAATTGCTGAAATGCAGTCTTCTTCACAGACTGTCCCGCGTATTAATTTCAACTAGAAAAGAGATAAAGCGAATTAATTTTAAAAATATTTCTACTAACCTCTAGATTCAGGTAAGTGTCCTAAATAGTTATCTTTAAAATTAAGGAAAATATGCTAGAAATAAGATAAGATTACTTATTCTATACAAAACTCTTTAAATAAGCCTAGGTAAAAATAGTAAATTGCTTTAAAAATTTTATTTACATTCTTTGTTTCATTCTACTAAAATCGTCATGATTTTATGATTACTATTATAGTAATCTGTGTCACTATGTATAGACCAAAGCTTCTTTGTACCCACATTGTGAAAAATGTACATTATAAAATCAATGAATGATAATGGAAACTTAAGTTCTATTATTCTTTAAAATCATTGTATATAGGTAACATATTCCCAATCATCTCTTTCATTGCTGAGCATTTAATTAATTCACTAATTATCTTTTTAAAAGCATTAGTGCAGCAATGATTTTTAAAATACTGTAACTTAATGTTAGATTTAATGTTAACCTAAAAAACTGTTTTGTTTGCAGAATATACATTCACAGCAGGCTGATTTATGCTGTGATAAGAAGCAATCTCCAAGTTTCCGTGGCTCAACGCAATAAATGTATACCTAACTCTAAGTCTACTGTTTATTCAGTCAATACTTGGGCAATTTCTATCCATATGTAGACTCAGTCTCCCAAGCATGTTGGAACACTGAGTGTGATGGCATCTTCTTATCACAGTATATTTTCCACAATCATCAAAGCAGAGAATGAATGGCTAGAGAGTAGAGCACCAGACATTAAATGTATCTACCTATAAGGGCACACGTGTCATTAATAAGACAACTTCGGAGATAACATCAAGAAGGTAAGGCATGCCAAAATTCTATGTGTCTGGAAGAAGGAGATCGGGAAATATTGTTAAATTGTACTAATGTCTACCATACATGCCACATATAATATAGAAACACAGAGAAATTACTTTGTCAGATGGTCTGAAGGAAATAATGGCAGAGGGGATTATATTTTGTGAGGTGGGTAGAGGCATGTGGATGATGTCATGGATATTCCTGCTGATATTACAGAATTAAAAGAAATCTCTACAGATAACATGAGTAGATAATCCCACTGTTCTCATTCCTTTCTTTGATCTAAAAATAGCATTTCTTTGAGTGTTTACATTGTATCCAAAATTCATTTGTGTACAAATAAAAAAAAATCAATCAAATGCGGTCAGCCACAAAAGAATGTAAGCCAACACTGGAATGACAAATCTAAAAAATGAATTTCCACAGATGCTGGCAGTTTGCAATAATGAAAGGCTGCAATATTGTCCTCTTACTGGTATGGCTCATGTCCCCCATGGTGTGTGATCACCCCTGTTGCAACTTTTTATTTATTTATTTTTGAGACAGGGTCTCACTTTGTCACCCAGGTTTGGTGTGCTGGGACTCAGATGCGCATTACCACACCCGGCTAATTTTATTTGTATTTTTTGTAGCGACGGGATTTCACCATGTTGTCCAGGTTGGTCTTGAACTCCTGAGCTCAAGCTATCCAGCTGACTAGGCCTCCCAAAGTGCTAGGATTATAAGCATGAGCCACCGCGCCCAGTCTTATTGCAACTTTAAAAACTACAGTGTTGTTCCTAGTGGTCTTTAGACAATGGCCACTAATATCTCTCAGCTTTTTCCTCCTACACTTTCTACCCTCCAATTTCTTTATAACACCTTTATCATTACAAGTAGCTAAACTCAGCCACACATTTAGTTGCATTTTGTTTTGATAGCACAAGTAGATTTAGAAGATAAAATAGAATGTGTCAGTGCAATGGCACTGTAAATTCATACAGATGCAGTGTATGAAAGACATGGCTCACTATCAGTGAGCATATAACTCAGGTTCACTGCTAAGGCTTGTGACGCAATTTCCCAATCATTTTGCTGACCCATCTTGCAATAGTCTTGAATCTAAATAATGAGGATAAATCTAATGTGGAAAGAAGTATAAAGCTGTAACTGGGAAAAAAAGACATTGGGTTATTTATGGAATGTTGGCCAACAATATTTTAACACTGTTCATGGGTGGAAAAATTATTTTGCTTCCTCTAGACATACTCAAAATATAACTTAACATTTTGAGGAACTGATTTTTGGTCTCTTGTGTCTCTTCCAAATATGCACGAAGATTTGAAATAAAATATGCATGCCAATTTCTATATATTTATACAAAAGCATACACACTTGGAAGGTATATTAGTCCATGCATCTTATTTTAGATATGTCATAATGAAGACACATGAACTTGTAGTGACTTTTTCAAAACTACTTCATGACATAATGCAGATCAATTATTTAAACTATAAATGGATATACAACTTGTATATAGAATAATATATCCAAAGTTATTTACAATTATTTTTAGTCAATAATCCAATATACACCTTGTGAAATCATCTGGTTGGACTTTCAACCCACAATTTGAAACTTAGGAAAACAAAATTACATTTTAATATTTTGTTATATAATTTCTGTTTGGGAAACCAGTTAATCTATGTTTCCAAATCTCTTCAACTCCTAGAGATATAAGAGATTCTAACAAAATAATTCATAAGGAATCCACCTCAGCCATCCAACGGTTGGTTGTCAAGGTTTCTGTCAAGGTTCCTGGGGCTTAAAATTATACTTATGTTAATGAAGTGAAGGAGGCAGCTCAAAGTCATTGGTGATTTCCCATTTGTTTATACACTTCACTGCTGTGATGACTTTTGTTACTGTCCTTCAGCCCCCTACACAATATCCAATTCTACTATCTCCAGTTTTAACTTGAGGATCTCTGGGGAAGTTACGTGGGTCGGTATTTATTATCCCCACCCTTCTATTGGTTCATGTATTAATAGCTGCCATCTCATTCAATGTGCATTAAAAATCTACAGGCTTTTTTTTCCCCCTCTTCGGCATGAGAATATTTCTCTAGTTGTGACAAGAAGCCCATCATTACTTCTAGCAGCTTCAGGCAGGTGAAAAAAAAGGCACCCTTGACAGCTGTCAGCTGGTACCCAGCCTGGTACTAACAAAAAGTCTGTGATGTTCCCTTCTTAACATCTATAACTCCAGGAATCACCATCAGTCAATGTCACTCTTTAAATGTGTTGAAGCAGAACAAACACAAGATCATTTTGTAATCATGTCTGAGCTCATACAAAACCAAGAAACCTATGCAAGTTTTAAAAATGACCTAATATCCACCTCTCTTGGCCATCCTGAGTGAATGATGCTTCTTTATCAATTATATTAGCCCTGTTTTGTTTTGCATGTCTCCTACATAATAATTATCATGATACTCAATAATAGAGTTACCTCAATTTTCTAACATCATCCTATCCAAAGGAAACCCCAGCTTCTTGGAATCTTTCCCGAATCACCCAGCACAAACACAAATCCTATTATATATCTCTCCTAATACTGTCTTACTGAAATGGCTCATGGTTCCTTGTGATATGTGAACACCCTTGCTGCAACTGTTTGAACTACAGGTGTGTTGCTAGTGATCTTTACATAGTAGACATTAGTACCTCTCAGCTTTTTCTGCCTCTTACTGTATGCCTTCTTATTCTCTAAAGGTCTAATTCCTTGACTTTTACTATCAGAAGCAATCAAATTCAAACACACATCCGAAAATAACTAAGGCACGCAAACACAAATGACCTAGTTCTCCTTTCCTCACTGGAATGAGGAAATCAATATTAACATCTCATTTTTTTTTCTGGAAGTTAAGCAGGAGAATAAACATTCAAATTTATGTAGCAAAAACAAGCACCTGCTCACCTGGTCCAGCAGCCTGAGTCACTCACCCTTCCTTTTACATAACCAGAGTGCAGCCAGTCCCTTTCTGCCCCATACACAGGCAGATCTCCAGGTATTTGGAGGACCTGCTCACCCAGATTGATAACCCCTCTGTTCCTGCATAGAGATCATGATGCAATGGGACCCCTCTGTTCCACAGCAAGTATGTCTCCAGGCATTTAGAGCACCTGCTTGCCAGTCCAACACCTTAATCTGCCCCTACTAATTCTGTGCAGAGATTGTGATACAGCTGACTTCTCTATATGCCATGTCCAGGTATTTGAAGAACCCACTCTCCTGAATTAGGAGTTCAGGCCATGCTCCTCCTCGTGCAGAGAACTTGAGGCCAAGGAGTTTTACCAGCTCCATGCCTAGGCACACCTCTGGGCACTCGGGGGCTGCCCACTGGATTTTTACTCAGTGGTAGTTCTTGTGCCTGCAATTGGGGGACCTGTAGGTGGGTCTGCCTAGTCTGGCTTTGGCCATTTTGCCCCTCCCCTACCAGGGCTAAACAGTGAGCTCAGACCTCTGTGCACTCCAGAGATTAGCACATTGTCTGAGCTACAAAAAGTTTATCCCAGTGAACAAGGGTTAAGTATATACCCAGCCTTGCTAACCATAGCTGGTTCTTATCCATAAGTATCATCTACTGGCTTGTACACCAAACTGCACAGCCCAATATGACACCTGCTGACAGAAGCACATAGGACTATAGAAGCAAAGCCAAGAGACCCTACTTAACATTCTCTACAGTCACATCTTATAGGGGAGGGTAGACAGTGAATGGGAAAGTAGAAAAAAAATAGCATTGGAAAAGAAAGAGAAACAAAAAATTCTACTAGCACAAAAACAATTACAAAAAATTAGACATGCCAGCATATCCAGATAAGAAGGAATCAGTGCAAGAATTCTGGCATCATGAACAATCTGAATAGATTTTTCCAAAGGATTACACTAGCACTCCAGCAATAATTCCTAACCAAAATGGGTACTCAGAAATGACAGATAAAACATTCAAATTACAGCAATTTGGAAGATTGAGGTAGGCAGATAGGTTGAGTCCAGGACTTCCAGACCAACCTGGGCAACATGGCAAAACCTTATCTCTACTAAAAATACAAAAAATTAGCTGGGTGTAAGGGTGTGCACCTGTGGTCCCAGCTACTCAGGAGGCTGAGGTGGGAGAATCACCTGAACCCATGAGGTCAAGGCTACAGTGAGCGGAGACTGCACCACAGCATTCCAGCAACCAGAGTGAGACCACGTCTCAAAAGAGAAACAAACAAACAATAATGGAATTCAAGGCATGGACTGCAAGGAAGCTCAATGAGATCCAAGACAAAGCTGAACATCAATATAGAACAACTTCTGAATAATCCAGGAAATAAATGAGGAGATAAACATCTGAGAAAGAAATCAATCAGACATTCTGGAATTGAAATACTCAGTTAAGAAATTTCAATATGTAATTTAATGCTTTATCAGTAAGCTAGATGAAGCAGAAGAAAAAATTTCAGAGCTTGATAACCAGTCTTTTGAACTAACTCAGTCTCTAAAAAAATAAAGAAAAACTAATTTTAAAGAAAGAACAAAGTCTACTAGGAATATGGTATTATGTAAACTGATCAGACCTGTGAATTATTAACATTACTGAGATAGAAGAAGAAAATGAAAACATTTTATTTGGAAATCCTATTTGGAAAACATTTTATTCTGGAAAATTTATTTGAGGAAATAATTTAAGGAAAGTACTCTAATCTTGCCAGAGAGGTACACATCCAGAGGCAAGAAATCAAGAGAATGACCTGTGGGAGGGGTACACATCCAGAGGCAAGAAATCAAGAGAATGACCTGTGAGATGCTATGCAAATGAACAGCACCATGGCATATAGTCTCCAGACTGTCCAAGGTCAAGGCTAAAGAAAAAATCTTACAGGTGGCTAGAAAAAAATCATGTACAAAGGGAAACCCATCAGGTTAACAGTGGATTTCTCAGCATAAACCTTACAAACCAAGAGAGACTGGGAGCCTATTTTCAGCATTTTTAAAGAAAATAAATTCCAATAAAGAATTTTATATCCCAACAAACAAAGTTTCATAAGCAAAGGAGTAATAAAATATTTTCCAGACAAGCAAGCACGAAGGGAAATTTTTACCACTGAACCAACCTTACAAGAGATTCTTAAAGGATTTCTAAACAGGAAAATGAAAGAATAATACTTGCTACCACAAAAACCCACTTAATTACATAGCCCACAGACTATAAAGCCACTACACAAAAGAAACTACAAAACAATCACACAACAGAACTACATAGCAACCAGCTAAAAACTTCATGATAGGATCAAAACCTCACACATCAATATTAACCCTAAATGTCAATGACCTAAATGTCCCACTTAAAAGACGCACAGTGCCAAGTTGGATAAAAAAGCAAGACCTAACCTCTGCTATCTTCACAAAACCCATCACACGTGTAACAATACTTACAGGCTAAAAATAAAGGGTTGCGGAAAGATCTGTCATGCAAACGGAAAACAAAACAACAACAACAAAAACTCAAGGATCACTATTATTATATCAGTTAAAACAGACTTTAAACCAAAAAGAGTAAAAAAGGATAAAGAAAGGTAACATTTAATGATAAAGGGTTCAATTCAACCAGAAGACTTAACTGTGCTAAATACATACACACCCAAAACTGGAGCACCTCAATTCATAAAACAACTACATCTAGACTTATAAAAGACCCAGAGAGCAACACAATAATAGTTGGGGACTTCAACACCCACTAAGAGTGTTAGACAGATTATTGAGGTAGAAAACTCACAAAAATATTCTGGGCTTCAGTTAGACAATTCACCAATTAGACCTAATAGACATCTAAAGAATGCTGCACCAATCAACCACAGAATATACATTTCTCCTCACCTGTACAATGAACATACTACAAGATCAACCAAATGCTCAGCTATAAAGCAAATCTCAATAATTCAAATAAATTGAAATTATATCTAACATACACTCAGACACAATGGAATAAAAGTAGAAATCAATAAAAAGAAGATCTCGCAAAACCACACAATTACATGGAAATTAAACAAGTTGCTCTTGAATGTCTTTTAGATAAACAACAAAACCAAAGTAGAAACAAAAACATTACTTGAAATAAATAAAAACAGAGATATAACTTAACAAAGTATCTGTGATGCAACAAAGGCAGTATTAGTTTATAGCACTAGTTGCCTACCTCAAAAGGTTAGAAAGATCTCAAGTTCACTATGTAACATTACACCAGAGGAACTAGAAAAACAAGAACAAACCGACCGCAAAGCCAGCAGAAGAGGTTACTAAAATCAGGGCAGAACTGAATGATATTGAGACCCCAAAATCCATACAATCAACAAAATCCAAAGTTGGTCCTTTGAAAGGATGAAAAAAATCAACTAGGCATTATCCTTGGGGTGCAAGGCTGGTTTAACATACATAAATCAATAAATGTGATTCACCACATAAACAGAAAAAAAGGCAAAAACCATATGATCTCCTCAATAGAGACAGAAAAGGCTTTCTATGAAGTCCAACATGGCTTTATGATAAAAACCCTTGACAGACTAGGCATCAAAGGAACATGCATCAAATAATAAGAGCCATCTATGACAAACCCAAAGCTAACATTGTATTGAATGGGCAAAAGCTGGAAATATTCTCCTTGACAACTGGAACAAGACGAGGATGCATACTTTCACCATTCCTATTAAACATATTACTGGAAATCCTAGCCAGAGCAATCAGGCAAGATAAAGAAATACAAGGCATCCAAATAGGAAAACAAGCCAAACCATCTTTCTTCACTGATAATATGATTTCATATCTAGAAAACCCTAAAGACTAAGTGAAAAAGTTTCTAGAGCTGAGTAACAACTTAAGTAAAATTTCAGGATACAAAATAAATGTGCAAAAATCAATAGTTTTTTTTTTTTTTTTTTTTTTTTTTTTTAGAGACTTGCTCTGTCACCCAGTCTGGAGTGCAGTGGCACCTCACTGCAACCTCCGCCTCCTGGGCTCAAGCAGTTCTCCTGTCTCAGCCTCCTGAGTAGCTGGGACTACAGGCACATGCCGCCATGCCCAGCCAGCAAAAATCAGTAGTATTTCTATACATCAATAATATTCAAGCTGAGGGCCAAATCAAGAATGCAATTCCAGTAACAATAGCTACAAAAATAATAAAATACCTAGGAATACATCCATTACCAAGAAGGTGAAAGGTTTCTACAAGGAGAATTTCAAAACACTGATGAAAGAAATCACAGATGGCACAAACAAAAAGACAAACATTCCATGCCCATGTACTGAAAGAATCAATATTGTGAAAATGGCCATAATGCCAAAGGAATCTACAGATTCAATGCTATTTCTATGTCATTTTTCATAGAATGAAAAAAAGTGTTATAGAATCGTTATAAAACCAAAAAAGAGCCTGAATAGCCAAAGTAATCCTAAGCAAAAAGAACAAAGACTTCAAATTATACTATAAGGCTACAGCAACCAAAACAATATAGTACTGGTACAAAAACAGACATGTAGACTAATGAAACATAATAACCTTGAAATAAAGCCACACATCTATGGCCATCTGATCCTTCACAAACATTGGGTATTATGGACAGCAATAGGACAACATGAGAAACTGGGAACTACTATACAGGGGAGAGAGAGTTGAAAGTGTTAAAAAGTAAACTTTTGGGCAAAATGCTCACTACCTGGGTGATAGAATCAGTTGTACCCCAAATCTCAGCATCACACAATATACCCATGTAACAAATCTGCACATGTACCTCCTGAATCTAAATGTTGAAATTATTTTTTAAAGAAAAAAAGGTAAAATGACAAATAAACACATATACAAAAACATCCAAAATTTACATTCTGCCTTATGCATACACATATTCATATGTGTCTGTGTGTTTTATACATATCTACTAAAATCCACTGTCCACTAAGGATTATTGCAACATTGAGAAATTTATTCTTTCTTTTGAGCTCTTTTAAAAATTGAGTCCATAAAGCACTCAGGAGTCACTTACTTCAAAATGTACTATTTAATAGTATCAATATTTCAACGAAAAGCCATTAGACTTACTCATTCCTTCACTTGAAATGACTCCTTAAATAATTATTGCTGCTTATGAATTGTCTAAAATTTCTATTCCTTTAGACTGAAATTTATTGAATATACTTTAATAAAAAATTTTGTTTTCAAAACATTTTCTAATTTAGAAAGATCATTCTATTCTTTATTTTTAATTTACTTTATATAATGACTAATGATGTTAAACATCATTTTATGTTTTTATTTGCAATCTGTAGACCTTCATTGAAGAAATTTGTCTTCATATCCTTTGCCTAAGTTCTCATTGAATTTTGCTTTCTTTAATCAAGTTTTGAGAATACTTTATACTAGTTCTTTGTCAGATATGGGTCTTGCAAATATTTTTTTCTCAGTCACTACAATATAGACAATATTTTGTCTATATTGTAGTGTTTTTCAGAGGAAACATTTTTTATTGTATTAAAATCTAATTTTTTTTTTAGTTTTATAGATCATTATATTTTTGTGTGTTCAAGTCTAGGAATTCTTCACCTAGCCGTAAGTCCTGCAATATTTTATCCTCTTTTTTCCCGAAAAGTTTTGTAGTTTTACATCATACATTTAAACCGATTATCCATTTTAAATTAATTTTTGTATACTTAAGAGACAGATAATTTTTTGGGGGGGTTGGGAAGTCTAAGCACTGTTGTTGAAGAAGCTATCTTTTCAACAATTGCTTTGAAAAGGACTATCTCTTCCACAGTAGCTTTGGTAACTTTGTCAAAAATTAGGCATATTTGTGTTATTTGTGTGGGTTTGTGTCTGTTTTATTATTATTATTATTCTCCATTAATGTAGCTATTTATCCTCTGCCAATACAAACAATCTTGATTAGTCTGCATGTAAGTCTTGAAATCAGGTAGAATGTTATTCTAACAATTATTTAGAGAGACAGTGTGTTGAATTCTCCAGTTAAAATAGTAAATTCATCTATAACTAAATGCATATGCACCAGCTTACAAAGCTTCAAAATATATTAAGACAAACTGATAAAACTAAAATGATTTATAAACATGATCAAATGTATTGTTTTAAAGTTTGTTTATAATATACTCATTACAATCTTTTTTAGATATTCAAAAGCTCTGCTTTGATATCCTTGTTTTCATCCTTCACATTCAGAGTTTTTGCTCTCTTCTTTATTAATCTTTCAGAGGTTTCCAAACTTACAATCTTTTCAAAGAAACACCTTTTGTCTTCGATATATTCTTCTGTATCACTGCTTTTATTTCATCCATATCTGATCTTACATTCATTATGACTTACTGCTGCTCTCTTTGGTTTTAATTTGCTATTCTATTTTTTTTCACTTTTTTTCTGATAAAAACTTACACCACTTATTTTTAACCCATCCTGTTGTAGCCTTCAAAAGGGCCCCCAAGACATCAACATTCTGTCTTCTGGACCCTGTTAATATGTTGCCTTATATGACAGAAGGAACTTTGTAGATATGATAAAATAAAAAAAAAATACAGATTTTAAGAATCAGCAGCCAAAAGTAAGCTTCCTTCACATAGCTGAGAGAAGTGAGCCCAGTCAAAACAGTCTTCCGTGGCATATTTATATATCCACAGATCTCCTTTGGTCATTTTAACTTTATATTCAGATTTGGAAGTGGTTATTTTATAGCTGTGTGCAAGAGAAGCAACCACAGGAGAATAACCTAGAGCCTTTCATCTCTACCATCACAGCATTTCATGTGGAGCCTGAACCTTCGCTTTCACCTGCCCTTTCACCTTCTCTTTCACCTGCCCTTCTAACTAAGCAGATCCAATTCTACTCCACATCCCTGTTGATCCAAACCATCTTCACATTCTATGTTTTAATGTAAATTCTGTATTTACTAGTACATTTTTCATTCTATGTTTTAATGTAAATTCTGTATGTATTGGTATATTTTTCATTTAGTAGAAATTTTGTTACTTATAATTAATAATTATTTGATTAATTATTATTTTGATTGTTTACAATTTTATTAGTGATCTGATTAGAAGGACTCAGAGATTTGAGGACTCCCTTAGCCTTCCACAGAAAGACTTTCCCAAAAATGTTTATATCATGTTAGAGCAGAAGCTCCTATACCTCTATGATTATAATGAGTTTGATTTAAAAATTCAGAACATTTGACAGAATGACAAATATGCTATTGACTTTTAAAATACCTTAACTCATTTTAAAGATATATATATATAAATCTCTGTAAATATATTTTTATATTTTATAAAATATATATAAGTATTTTATACATTTATACAATGAATATTTATATAATTTTAAATGTTTATATAATAAAGACAGATATTTACATAATATATAAATATATATAAAATATATGTATTGTATATATTATATATGTCTTTAAAATGAATTAAGGTATTTTAAGTCAATGGCATATTTGCCATGTCGATAGTCATATTATTTATAGACTATTATTTATAGAAAATATTATTTATAGAAAACATTATTTATAGATAGATAGTATGTTATATTATTAACAATTTTGTATTGTCAATATCATATTATTATATATTATATTTTACTAATAATAATTATTAATGTTAACATTAACATTAACAGTATGTTAATAATATAACATACTACCTACAAATAATATATCATATGTTATATATCATATATTATATCTATAAATATATATCATATATTATATATCACATATCATATATAAATATACATATCATATATCGTGTGTGTGTATACATTAACACACTGATCTCTAATCTGATATTTCATCAACAACAAATAAAAATGGAAATATATTAAATGTATATAAACTACTTAATTGATAACTAAACGCACTAACCCTCAGTTTATTTAACAAGTTAATCACAGCACTAAGACAAAAGGGAAAAAACCATATGGTTGAAAGCACTGGAAATTTGATTCCTTGCATTTTTAAATAATTGTTGTTAATAGTGGACCATCTTATAATCATCAAGAAATAAAATTTTAATTTTAAATTGTGCATTTTAGGATATTAAGAATATTTGAGATCATGCAAGAGAAATCTGTGAAAAGATAGTAAAAAAGACAATATATACTAGTCACCAGACCAACAGAGGCTTTAAAATCCTTAAAATCCTTGCTGTCTTTTAAGAATAAGCCAAATACATTAATATTGAATTTATTAGTAATAAAAGAAGAAAGGACAACATAATTGCTTTTCAACGAAGTTTTAACAATGAATAAAGCAAAACAATAGCAGGGAAAATACCATACCATAGAAGATTTGCTATTTCAAGATTCAAGTTCGTAATAGATTTTGTTTCCTTGCTTTTTCAGTAATACATTTATTTCATGCCCAATTTAAAGCAAATTCAACCAAAGAATCACTTATGAATGTAAGAGAAATTTACTTTTTAGTTTTTGAGCTACAGCAGTCTGACATTAGGCAAAATCTAGATGATCTTAATACAAGGTTGAGAAAAAATATGAGCGAGTTTTTCTAGTGCCCTACTGAAGAAAACATCATTAATTCACCAATACACACAGCTGCAATCTATTAAGCCATTACAGATCTATTTTAATAGAATCAATTCCTAATATTTAGGTTGAACACACTCTCTGCTTTTGTTATCACTAAATTATCTGAAGAGAGAGCAGTAGTACAACTCAATCAAGCTGGCAAGAGTAAGCAAGCCTCTCTTGTTAATGTACTTTACAACAAACTAGCGTTTGAAGAAGAAAAAAATCTGCACCTGAATTAATCAGCCAACAAGTCAATCAAATATGTATTATGTGAGTGGTTTTCAAAATAAATGTTGTTAGGAAAAGAATTTTCCCTTGAGCCTAACAATGGCTAACTGTGATAATGAGAATGTGATATCTTTAATTTGAGGGTCTTGGTTTAATTAACAGTGGCGCATATAAACCTATTTAATAGCTGGGAAGCACAAAGCCTCTGGGAGGCCTCTTCATTCTTTAGCTGGGCTAGTTATTCTATACTTATATTGTCTTAGTTATCTTTATTAATTCCACCTTTTTCCCTCAACTACCCTGGAATTATTGGTTTCCTTTTGCTCAGATTAATTTAGCAAGTTTTTTTTTTGGATATAGGTCTCAGAAATAGAAATAGGTCTATTAGAAATGAAAGAGAAAAAAAACCAGAATTAAGCTACTCTGACCATATATTTTGTTTGGAATATGCATTTTAGTGAGTTTTAACTAAAACAAATCATATATGTATATTTCTATCTATATATTTCAATGTTATTGGTTACAATTAGTAAGTTCTCAAAATAATATTGGTCTCCTCTTACATATACAAAATATTGCCTACCTATATATACTAAAGTTATAGTTGTTCATTATCTATAGCCAACTGTAGGCTAAAGTTGCTCTTGAAGGACAAAGAGTGGGTTTCTCTCACGCAAATACTAAATGTTGGAGGTTGAACATATACTATAAACAACCTAGGCCTCACTGACTATCTCTCAAAGATCTTCCTTATATTAAACAAGAAAATGTGAATCCATGTAACTTCCTTCCCAATCTTTTCCCAGTAAGAATGATAAAAGAAATGCATTACCATAATTTAAGAAGAAAAAAAATGGCTGGGCGCGGTGGCTCATTCCTGTAATCCCAGCACTTTGGGAGGCCGAGGCGGGCAGATCACGAGGTCAGGCAATCGATACCATCCTGGCTAACACGGTGAAACCCCGTCTCTACTAAAAATATAACACACACACACACACACACACACACACACACACACACACACACACACACACACACACACACACACATTAGCCGGGCGTGGTGGCGGGCTTCTGTAGTCCCAGCTACTCCGAGAGGCTGAGGCAGGAGAATCGCTTGAACCCAGGAGGCGGAGGTTGCAGTGAGCCGAGATTGCGCCACTGCACTCCAACCTGGGCGAGAGAGCGAGACTCTGTCTCAAAAAAAAAAAAAAAAAAAAAAAAAGAGAGAAGAAAAAAAATTATAATAGAACAACATTGAAAATCAAGATGCCTGTCAATGCTCGCTCACCATGCACTGAACTACTCGGAGCACTTTGGTCCACTTCTTAGTTCTATAATAGTTAATTCTTAATTTATAACGAAAAGCTTTGAAGGACCCACACAAGTGTGTGTACGTATGTGCATATATATATATATATGCATATATATATATATGCATATATATATATATATGCATATATATATATATATATATATATATATATGTCTTTGGCTTTCTCCCACGAGCTGGATAAAGATTTTACTAAATTTTGCTCTACTCTCCACCTTTCTTTAGCATCCTCTTCAATTCAGATAGTCATATTAACACTTTTGGTTTCCTTCCAGGTTCTCATGACATCCTCAAAGAGTGTAATTAAAGTCCTATTTTTTACATGTACCACAGGCTGTGCTTCTCTCATTTTGTAGTATGCCCACCCTTTCTCCTCATTGTCTTTTTTTCAGACTCTCACAGCTGTAGCTATAATTTTATTTTGTCAAAGTTCTAACCATTTAAAAATATTCCATGACTGTTCTCTAAGTTGATTGTAAAAATTGAAAATAAGTGAATACCACTTACTGTGTATTACTGTGCCTATTTGAATGCAGCTGACTTCACGGGCAAGCACTGCGCTCTGTCAGGATTGCTTGCCTTTCCTTATTGGTCAATGTCATGATTTCTAGCATTCACTGGAAAATGTCTGCAGGATGAATTTTGAGTTATCTATCCAAAGACAATGGTCTTTGTCATAATCCTGTTTTCTCTCAGATTTCATTCATTCTTTGGATTATATTTATTCTCCTTATTTCCTCAGGACTTCTCTCTTGATATTTTTATCTGGTTTATTGAACTCAAGTCAGCCACACGATGGTCATCCTGTTCGGGGCAGAAGGACATTGAGCCCTGCCAGTTTTAGATACACGGTTTTCAATATTTCTACATAACCCTCTGTCCTACCACTTTTTCATTATATAGGAGAGTTGTGGGATGTTGTAATTACCAAAAGAAACTGAATGATTTATTTCTTATATTTTTGTATACGGGCAGCTAATAGAAAAACATGGACAAAAGTGTGACGTTTGTGAAACAAAAGAAAAAAAAATGACTCTAAAGGTAACATGAAACAAATATTTTAAGACAGAAAAAAACAAAGCTTTCATCAATAGGTGTAATTCTGGCCTTTTAATTTGGTTATAATTATTATTTTAAAAAATAACTAGTTTCATCTGCAGCTAACATTAAAAACTTGCTTACTCTAAGCAATGAAAATCACTGAAGACTTTCTGAGTACTATTTGTATTAAGGCTTTTCTAGTGTGCCATGACCAGAAATTGGGCCAGTGAAGGAAGAATCATACCTTATAAAAGATAGAGCTGCCTGTCATAAGGTCTCCTTTCCCCTTACCCATAGCATCACCAGCTCTCACTTCCATTTTGATTAAAAAAATAAACTTTATAATGTATTAGTTATGATTAAAAAGGTCATCCAAAAATTTGAGGCCATGTCAAAATAAAATCATATCTTTCATTAACATAACATGCATAATATTTAAATGTATATCTTGCTTTCATTATATTATATCGTTAATTTTGCATTCACAAGGCCCACATGTTAATGGTAAGACAAACTGGATGGGTGGTGGGGGAATGGAGACAGTGGTAATTTAAAGACCGGAGATCCTTCTTATTTATAGTTCTGCCATCCCTTAAGGTCTACTTTTTGCCCATACTGCACAGCTAAGGAAACAAAGTCTGTGAGGAACATATTTGCTTCCTAGAAAACTTAACCTAGAAAGGTTACACATCCCTTTGACAAATATCTCATAGCAGAGATCTAGACATAACACACTAAAAGAGAGGCCAAGAAAAGTAGTTTAGCTCTGTGCTCAGGAAGAGTTTCTTGGTGGCAGTGTGGAAAGTCTATCACAGAAAGTTCCTATATTGAATCCATGTAAAATGGTCTGTATTTGGTACTCAGGAAGTTGAAGATTTACTCCTTTGGGTTGTATATCCTCACTTTTTAATTTTTTCCTGTATTTTTTTTTACTAAACAAAATAAACTTATTTTAAATTCTGTGTATGCAGCTTTACTTTCTACAACATCTGTTACATGAATTTTAGTGTACATGAAATTTTTTAAATGTCATGGTAAAAATTTTATCTTTTATTATTATCAGTTGAAATCTTAGCAATAAATGTAATATTTTTTTCACTAACAGCCTTGTATTGGAAATAGTTTTCTGTAGTCATAGAGAATTTTCTCACAGAACTCTATGAAAGTCGTAGGAAGTTTCTGACATAATAATTAAGGTGCATTTCAGTAAGTGTATTTGGATAGAGACAGCAAGATGCTGTCCAGGTATAGAGTTCTCTGATAGCCTTCCTTAAACAAACAGGTAGAATACTTAGAAAAATAAATATGTGGCAAATTTTTCAGGCACTAATTCTCAAAAATTAACAAGTTTCAGGTATGTGCTGGATAGAAGTTATTTTAAAATGTATGTTCTGAAAAAGATCTAGGATTGGGTTTATGTTTCCAGAAATAGAAGAGGTTAAAATTTTAGTGATGGTTGGATTATGGTTGACTTTCTATCAGAATAAGCAGGTGGGCAATAACTTCCAGGAAAAAATTACCTTCTCCACCTCTATGTGGAGATTGATAACATGTATTATTATCTTCTTAATTTATTACATTGTTCTCAGATAAAGGGCCATATAGTGGATGTAAAATTAAACATTTTGCAAGTCTTAATGCGTTCTTTGGCCTAGAACTATTTATCTATTTCCTCAATTAAAAAAAAACATGGATTCTCAATTTGTGTTGAGGTTGAAGTACACGATGAATACATTTCAAAATATTATTCCTTTTTTCTTTGATCTGAATATTTCTATCATAAAATGTGCCATACTTTCAGGCTTTGTTATAATATGAAGCAATGCTTTGTATACAGTGCACCAGAATAATTTGTCCTAAGAGTTGTCATGGACTGTCAGTTACTTTTGTGGCTTAAGTAGGAAGGTAACAAGTAACTAGACCTATCAGTTTCTCCTAGGCATCCAAACACATTTTGCCAAAATATGGCGAAAGTGTGCTAGTTTGCAGTGAGGATTAAAGTGTATAGATAATGTTTTATGAAAAGAGGCAAAACCACAGTATCACATACAAATAAAAATTATGATTAAATAAATATTTTGTCACGCCGAACTTAATCAATGCATGGAAAAAGGAGAATTAAAAATGTACAGTTAAAATCAGAAAAATCATATGAAAGAATGAGGGCTGTAACCCTGCAAGCCTGAATGTGAGCAGCAGTAAGATGGGCTCAACTATACACCTAGAACAAACCATGAATCCAAATACTGTTCTCATGTGGACTAGACTCCCCATAACTGCCAGAGGTACAGCCCAACAAGTGCACTGCTGGGGAGTCTTCTAAACATCCTGTTATGCTCTAATTCACCTGGGTTCTGTTTAGACTAATACTCTAGGAAATGCTATTGCCAGTTAAAAGTACCATGATTTACATTTCTGTTATCTGTGTTGATTAACCAGGATGAAGTCCTCCTTGGATGGAGGGAGTCTGTTCCACATTTGCATTTCCATGTGGGTCAATAACTCCTTTCCTGTCAACCAAACACCCTATTATCTACACCCAAATAATTCCAACGTAAACTCTAGAAATTATGTTCCTTAATAAATCAATTCTGACTCCTAACTTCTTATATCTCTCTGCTGTAACTGAGACTAGTTATGCTGCTCCTACTGATGCCCTCTCAAAAAGGTGGGCACTGAGTTCTGCTTGACACAGTGCTGCTTTTAGATCTCTCTTCTTCCATCATCTTATAAATTAGCCCAGCCCCATTGGAGTTAAAGTCACTCAGTGCATTAAGTGTATGAGGCTGTTTTGCTTTGCTATATTAAAAAAATGACGCTTGGTAATTCATAAAGAAATGATGTTTAACAGGTTCAAGATTGTGCAAGTTGTACATAAAGTATGACACCAGCATCAGCTCAGCCTCTGGCGAGGCCTCAGGGAGCTTTTACTCATGGTAGAATGTAAAGCAGAAGCAGAAGCATCACATGGCAAGAGCAGGAGCAAAAGAGAGAGTGGGGAGGTGCCACACTCTTTTAAACTACCAGACATTGCATGAACTAACGGTGAGAACTCACTCATCACTCAGGAGACGACATGAAGCCATTCATGAGGGATCCAGCCCCCATGATTCAATACCTCCCACTAGGCCCCAACTCCAAAATTGGAAATTATATTTCAACATGAGATTTGGAGGGGACAAACATCCCAACCATATTACTCAGCTGCATCACATTGCTTTCCAGTAACCTTAACTTCATTTTTGTTGATTGTGGAACTATGACTCTCTATCTTCTATCAGACTTGCCATCTTCAAATCAGACTTGCTGACTTCATATTCATCTAGAATATTAAACAGCTCCCAGACACTCAGTTACATAATGCACTCATATTCTCTGAGTCTCCCTGAATATTGATTTTCAATGATACATTTGGTTCTTTCTAATAACATTGAGACCCTAGGTTTTTGAAATATCAAGTATAAACATTCCATATTTTAGTTTTATTTTCTTTCTCATTTGGTTATCCCTATGTCTTCGCTTCACTTTAGAGAGAACTCTGATTCTGTGATCTCCTATGTTTTATGTTGTTTTTTGTTTTGTTTTGTTACTGTTGTCTAATCAACTTTCTGTTTAGTATGAACTCAGCTTTCCAGCTTAGGTACAGAGGCACATCGCTTCAAGAACCCTTATGTGTTAAGAATGTCATCCCTCATCCCCTATTGTCTTTGAATTTACTGGGCAAAACTCTAGGCCTGAGAAATTCCTAAGGTATGTTATTCTGCATTTTGTAAGCCTATTCTGAGCTTACTGAATACTCTTTCAGTAAATCATGTAACTTTAAAGGTTTTACCAGTTTAAATTCAGGGGTTTTAACTTCAGTTTTGTCCTGTCTTGTAGGACAAGTATCTGTTTCTATCACACTCTTCACCATAGCTACTTTAATCGTTTTCCAATTTCTTTAAATATCTAACTCTACAAATTGTCCTCCAGCAGCAGAAAAACTCATATCTTCACAGAGAATACAGTAGCCAACTTTCTGACATTAAGCCTATAAATAAATATATTTACATTGCAATTTACTCTTTGATGTGTTCCCCTGATTCAGTGTTGTGTTTTCCTCTAATTCTCTTTTTCTTTGCTGATTACCTGTGTCCTGGAAGTTATCCTGTATGACACCATCCTCCTAACTCTTTAATGGAAGCTAAATTGTTAATAGGACCAAGTGATAAATATTTTCAGTTTTGCAGGCCAGATAGTATCTGTTACAACACTTCATCCTGATGTTTTCACAGAAAATTGGTCATACACAATATTTAAATAAGTGTGCACGAATATGCTCTTGAAATCTTTACTTCTAAAAACTGGAGGTGAGTTGGACTGCAGTTTGTCAACAAACTGGAATTAAAAATAGCATTAAAATCAGCGTCAGTAAGCAGCTAATTTAGTGTTTAGCATATTTTTTTCTTAGAATGTTCCAAATTAGTATTAAATAAATTTAAAAAGATAAAGTTCCTAAAATAAATTAAATTATTAAACATTACTTTATAAAACATTACAATATTCATTTTATAAGTTTTTTAAAAACTTATTTTTTATCAGATTTATCAGTCTTGTGTGTGTATGTGTATGTGTGAGTGCATGTGGCTGCAATGTGCTTTGTAATGTGAGTATGAACTAGTTTATTTGTCTATATACTAGATGGGCTAACTAAAATACAAGCATCATCCCTTAGGTTCAGGATCATATGGTTACCACACTTGTAATTAAGTAATTATAAAATGAACAATAATCTCATTCCTATATATGAATTCTGACAAGGTCTAAGTAGTATGAAACCAACCAAAAATGTATTTTTTAGGGTAGAATTTTTTAAAGACTTGTTTTGGTTTCCTTGACTCTTGATAGAAAATGGCGTTCCATTTCTCAGAAACAAAATAGAGGTGCTTTTCCTAAAGAGTTTTGGCTATTCTTCCTTGCATCAACTGGTATGGAAAAAGAAGTTATTGTATTTGAATACTACAAAAACTCAAGACAGTTGCTAAATCATCAGGAATGCTTTTCTGCAAAAAAGACAGGATGTTGCACCCAGGGGCAACACTCTCAGCTGTGTCCACAGAGAGTAAATGAGTAATATGAATAAAAGATACTACTGTGAAAGCTATTATAAGAGTATTAAAAAATCTAAAATTTTGTTAGAAATTGAAGTATTCCTAATGATCTGAAAGCTTTTGGTCTCCTGTGAGAGAATATTGATTTTCACTAATTTACAGAGCACACTTCAGGGAGCCTTTAAAAAGAAATCATCCATCAGCCTGTTCTGAAAAGTCTCTTTTTTTTTCAGAAAACATTTTCATTTCTCAGCAGGGATGTTGGAAGACAGAAGGGCTATGAAAAAATGGATGAAAATACCAGAAATGAGCAAGGAAAAGGCTGTTATTAAAAGTCAATGAGGGCTTCTGAAAATATAGAAAATATTTCTAACAAAATATATTTTGTTTTATTGAATATTGACAATGAAAATATATATACATATTGACAATGTAATGGATATGGATCATTTCTTTTGGTATTTTCATTCTCCATTTTTCTTTTCAGGATAATAAAATTAAAATAAAATGTTTTGTAGAATGTCAAAATAATAAGTGAATTAAGTAGAAAATTAGGTTAAATTAGTTAATTGGCATCAAGCACCTGAAATAAATTTTAACTTAATATTTGGTGTATGTACTTAAGTTCACAGGACGTCTACTTCTGCTATATATTTTACATTTTAGAAAGTTTGTAATAATAGACATTAAGAATTATAAAAGGCTTTAAATTCATCTCATTTAAACTTTTAATCCCTATATCTAATTGTGGCATAACTACCCTGGATATACATAATAAACAAACATTGGCCTAACCTCACTTTTATTAAATTGTCAAAAAAAGTTTTAAATTTAAAAAATAGCCTATAAATTATGTAAATCAATAATCTGAAAATATTTTAATTTTTCTTTCCTTTTTGAAGATAACAACTTGATAACATGAACATTTAAAAACTGGGGATAATGTAAGCACTCTGTGAATAGATATTAAATGAATAACTACCAGATATTGTGACTACATTGTTCCCTATTTGACATTAAATAACACATGCAAATCCCTTGACCTGATTCATACCTCATTTGAATGAATACTGTTAAGAGTCATTCAGATGGTTGCCAGCAATTTTCCTTGTCAATTTCCATTGAGACATCTTGTAATAGGCGTGCACATTTTTAATACTGAGATTTTTTTTCTCCTTCTGGAACATTGTTTTCATTATAGAATGTAAACATTCTTTTTTATAAAATGAAACTTATTTTCTTTTTCCTGAGCCAGATTTTCCTGTCTTAAAAGAAAATTTTCTCGTTGCTAAAGGCTGAGAATTTTTACATATTGTTTGGTATTGGTGTTCCAGCACACATGCATTTTTAAACCACTTAATGGATCGACCAGTTGTGAAATGCTATCTATTAAAATTTCATATATTTTCAAATGGAGCATAAAATTTATCATATGCAGACTATATTAAGATAGAGGAGCCATGGCTGAATATAATGTATTAGCAAAAATGTAAAAGAAATCAGTGATTCAGCATTTTCAATTAATAGTGTATTCAATTTCTGCAAAACTGCTAGGCTTTGATAAGAGCATCAATGTTTCTTAATATTACTGAGGTAATAAGGCTCTCCACAAGTCATCATACACATGGAAACTGGAATTCCTAGCAAGATTTGATATCTTAAAAGCTATTCATCTGTGTAAAAATGCTATGACAGGCTGAAGAACTCAAAATGTTACTTCATATTTTCTTCTCTATTACACACTGATACTCAAGTATAGGACTGCCTAGATATAAGTAAAATATTTTTTCTTTTATAGAATACCTATACATTGCATTCTGCTATTAATCAGATTTATGAAAGTTTTAACATATTGAAATGAAACCTGTGTATCAAATTTGTCTTACTTTAATAAGGACTTGATCACATTAGTAAATGGAAAATTGTACACATGATTTCTTCATGACTACAATATAATAGTAGTGAATGTTTCCCTATTTTATAGGTTTAAAACAGATAGGATCCATTTGAAAATGATGGGCTAGGCTTGTTGTCTCATGCCTGTAATCCAGCACTTTGGGAGGCGGAGGCAGGAGGATCATTTGAGCTGAAGAGTTTGGGGGACGACTTGGGCAACATAAGGAGACTCTGTCACTACAAAAAATACAAAAAAAAAAAAAAAAAGGCTGTGTGTGGTGTTACATACCCATAGTCCCAGCTACTTCGGAAGCAGAGGTGGGAGATTGCTTGAGCCCAGGAAGTTGAGGTTGCAATGAGCCATGATTGTGCCATTGCACTCCAGCCAGGGGATAAAGAGAGACTCCGTCAAAAAAAAAAAAAAAAATCTAAATAAAATTAAATTATGTTAAAAAATAAAAATGACTGAATGCCAAAAAGTTAGTGTATGTTGGTAGGAATGTAGATTGGTGCAGCGTTATGGAAACCAGTATGGAAGTTCCTTTAAAAAAATAGGATTATCAATGACCCAGGAATCCCGTTTCTGGAATTATACCTAAAGGAGATAAAATCATAAAAATGTCTACACTCTCATGTTCATTCTAACATTATTCACAATAGCCAAGTTATGGAAACATCTTGAATGCCCATCAGTGGATGCGTGGTTAAAGAAAATGTGGAACACACACAATAGAATATTATTCAGCATTAAAAAATTAGGAGATTCTGCCATTTACCACAATATGGATGACACTTAGCATTTTCACATTATGCTAAGTGAAATAAGCCAGATACAGAATGAAAACTATTGCAGGATTTCACCTATACATGGACTCTAAAAATAAATAAGTCAAATATACAGAGACAAAGAATAAAAGTGGTTGTGGGGGAATGGAAAAGTCTAGGTCCAAAGGATACAAAGTCACAGATATGCAGGATAAACAAGTGTAAAGATTTGAGGAACAACATAAGGTCTATAGTTAATAATTGTGTATTATACTCAGCATTTTTGCTAAATGAGATTATAGCTATTCCTGTCATGAGAGGGCAGGGGAGGAATGGGTAACTATGTGAAATGATGGATATGTTCATTTGTTTCATTATAGTAAACATTTTGCTACATATATGAATTTCATTACAACATGCCGTATGTCTTAAATATACACAATATAAATGTACTTTTTAAAAAAGTTGATGCAGACATGAAAAACAATTAATTAAATTGGTATATTTTTAAAAAAGTTGATGCAGACATCAAAAACAATTAATTAAATTGGTATATTTCTTTTCAAAACTAGTAAGAAAAATAAATAAGAATATATATTTATTATCTATATTGTATGGTAAATTGTGACAAGTTTAGGGGAATGACATGACACCCACTTATCATCTCATAGCTACTTTGGGTCAAGTATCTGGGCACAGCTTAGCTTGGTCTTTGACTTCAGAATCTCTCATGAGGCTACAATCAAGATGCCAACTAGGCTTTGGGTCTCATTTGAAGGCCCAGTAAAGGAAGGATTCAATTCCAAACTCACTTATGCAGTTGTTGGCAGGATTCACTTGCTTTTGGACTGTTGGACTGAGGGTCTCATTGCCTGTCTTTTGTTTGTTTTTTCAGTTCCTCAGGTGATGCTGATGAGGAAAATCTCATTTTCTAGTTGGTTATTGGCCAATGGTCAACCTCAGTAGCTTGCCACATGGGCCTCACTGATGTAGCAATTTGCTTCACCAAAGCCAGCAAGGGAAAAAGTAAACCAAGATAATCTACTAAAAGAAACTTACAAAGCTTTTGAAACCTAATCACAGAAATCGCACCTTTGCCATAATCTGTAGTTTAAAAGCAAGTCACAAGGGTAGCCCACATTCAGGGGAGGGCATTACTCAAGGACATGAGTTCTAGAAGGCAGTGATTATTGGAGACCATCTTAAAGTCTGTCAGCCGGAGAATATTAATGGTAATAGCATCTTTATGTATAAAAAAGCAACGTATTATTCATAGTACAATATAAATATTTATGTTTGTGTGTGTGTGTTTGTGTGTCTATAAATGATTATGCTCAAATTTGATTTGTTTTAACATTTGGAAGATGTGAAGAAAATCATGTTTCGAAGTGTTTTTTCTTATAAAGCAGTTTTGTGATTTTAAAAATTTGATTAACTGAAATCTATTCTTTATATGTGGTATTGTGCTATGTTATAATGAAAAGGAAGGAATATTGAAAATGTAGTTGAAGAAATAATGAAAACTAAGATCAAGCATATGTCTGAAAAAAGAGTAGATCTCCATTCTGCCAAACAGGACACCATGTAACAATATCAAATATCCAAGCTATAATGACAAGCAGAATTCCCATCTATTATTGACCTAAGATATTTTAAAGTGATAGACGAAGTAATAAGTCACATACGATGGAGGGAAAATTGTAAAAGTCTTCAAAATTGGACAAAGATATCACTGGTTATTGTCGTTGGAAACTAAGCATTGTCTAGTACGTCACTAACGTTATCTGACTTTGTTGGGTTTCTGAGACTTTCCGTGTTTTTAAAATGCTCACAACTACCATAGCAATACAGATCTTATTATATATCCTTCTTTGTGTCATGAATGTTAAAAGGCATTTACATTTGAGCACAGTAGTCTTCCGTTATCCACAGAGGATACGTTCCAAGGTCCCCAAGGAAGGCCTAAAACCATGGATAGTACCAAATCCTATATATACTATGTTTTTTCTATGCCTATAATAAAGTTTAATTTATAAATTAGGCACAGTAAGATATTAATAAAAATAATAAAATGTAACCTTTATAATAATATCTGCTAATAAAAATTATGTGAATATGACCTCCCTCTCCCTCTCTATCTCTCAATATATCTCATTGTGCTGTACCCACTCTCCTACTTGTGATGAAGCAAAGGTAGAGTGGGATAAAGTGGCACCACATGAAATTTCATAATATACTCAGAACCTCATGTAATTTAAATCTTATGAATTGTTTATTTCTATAATTTTCCATTTAATTTTTGCAGGTAATTGAAGCTGCAGAAAGTGAAAGGGAGGACCACTGCATAAATATGTAAGGCACCTAAAATATAGTCAATTTTGTGTGAACTAATCAATTATTTTATAATTTTTATGTTTTGTATTTTATATAGCCCAAGTTTCTAAAGTAAACAATACAGATTGACATCACAGAGAAATGCTACTAAAATTTACAGCCACCTATTACAAACTGTGATGTAAATATCACTTTCTTAAATTGTAGTATTAAAGAATAAAGCACATCTTTTCAAAATGGAAAATTTGCAGATTTGCGTAAAATATGAAATTATTGTTGAAACACATGTCATAATCATAAAATATACTTGAAAGGAGTTCATTACCTTGTACTCTAATGGGCTCTTTCCATTGCAAAATATATATTGCATATTTGACATTTAAAGGATAAATGGACATCATTTTATTCGAGCAGATAAACCAAGATAAGAATTGGTATAAACCATATACTTCAGAGAATTAAATTTTCAAATATTAAATTTCTCTGTGCACATATGTAAATTAATATCGTTAAATCTCTTATCTAGTATTGTAATTATTATTATTTATAACATTACAGGCTAACACAATGATGTGTTTCAACATACAAAAAGTTTCTTTACATTATTTAAACATCATTTAAAACATTTGATATAAGGTATAATGCTCAGCACCCTATTCAATTTCTTATTATATATAAAACATAAGTATATTACAGCCAGTTTTCTACATTATATCATAGATGATGCTGAACATCATGCAACATTAACAAAAATAAAATTGTAGATAGAACATACATCTAAGTACTCATTGTCAGAATGACTGTAGCTGCAGGTATTTTAATGATGGGAGAGGGAGTAACATAGTACATACAGTGAAAAAAGCATTTCCCTGAGAATTACAAAAATTATCTTAGCTGTGTGATTTTGGAAATAAATCACCAAATTTTCCTGGGCTCAATTCTGTGCATCTGTATTAGTAAGGGTTCTCTTGAGGGGCAAAACTAATAGAGACAGAATTAATAAAAGGGAGTTTAGTAAGTATTAACTTACATCATCACGAGGTCCCACAACAGGCCATCTGCAGGCTGAGGAGCAAGCAAAGCCAGTCCAAGTCCCAAATTGAAGAACTTGGAGTAGAATGTTCGAAGGCAGGAATTATCTAGCATTGGAGAAAGATGTAGGCTGGAAGGCTAGGCTGGTCTCATGTTTTCATGTTTTTTTTTTTTTTTTTTTTGCCTGCTTTATATTCTAGCTGAGCTGGCGAAAGAGGTATAAGAAACTGTAGGAAATGTGTATAACTTTTATTTACTGCCATTATGTTCTGAAATTAGATTAAAAATTCTAATTTTCTATCTTATATATATGTAACTCATGCAAGAGAATGAATTTAAGGCCAGTTTCACTGCACACAATGAATAATCTACCAGAGAATACTTAAGAGCAGATTTGAGGATACAAAATGCAGTATAAACACTAAAGATGCAGATTTACAAAATTTTCATCATAACAGATACCATGATGATAACCAAAACTGCTAAGAAGGTTACAAAATTGTAGGTAAATCTTTCAATAATGTTTACTATTTGCATTGATTTTTGCAAACTACATAAAGTATACTCTAATAAATTAGAAACTTCATCAATATTTAGATGAAAAATAACCATATGTATCTTCCTATATTTTTATCATGTAATTCTTATGTTGCCATTTCCTTCCTCAAAGCAATTCTATCTGTATATCTAAATATCAATGAAATACAAAAAAAAATTGTGAGGAAGTTTTTTATGCTATTGCTATTTTAGAAGAGAAATAATACATAATCACATTATTTATTAATTAAGATAAGCAAAATATGATAGGGAAATCTGGTCCAAAAATTATTTCATCTCATTTTAGTTGCCAAACCACAAGGAAATGAACATGGTTATCTGTAATCTGTGGTCATATACACTGAAGTTTTTAACCTTTAATGGATATATTTTGCTCTATGAAACTAAAACCATAGATAAGTATATTTGAGGTTTTAAATAATAAAGTTTATTTTCTGATTGAAATATCTGTTAGAGTTAGAAATATTGTATTTTGGATACAAAATATAGTCATTTTCATTGGACGAAATGTTACTCTAACAGAAAAGAGACCATAAAAACATAAACTGACGGTAACTTCCATAATGTTTTCCATGACTGTTACATTCCCACCAACAGTGCACAAAAGCTCTCTTTTTTCCACATGCCTATCAATACTTGTTACCTCTTGTCATTTCTATAACAGCTTTCTGAATAGTATGAGGTAGTATCTCACAGTGGTTTTGATGTTCAATTCTGTCATGATTAGTAATGTTGATAACCTTTTTACCATTTTTATGCCTTCTTTGGAGTAATGTCTATTTGAGTCCTATGCCCGTTTTGTAATCAACTTATTTGTTTTTCTGTTATTGAGTTGTAAGTGTTCTTTAAACATATTGAATACTTACCCCCTTATAAGATATATGGTTTGTGAATAATTGTTTCAATCTGTAGGTTGCTTTTTCATTTATTTGTTTCCTTTGCTGCACAGAGGTTTTTAGTTTTATGTAGCCATTCATTTATTTTTGTGTTTGTAGCTGACGTATTGGTGACATATTCCAAAAAAATCATTACCAAGGGCAATGTTAAGGAGTTTTCCCATGTTTTTTTTCTAGGAGTTCTATGATTTCAGATCTTACGTTTAGATGTTTTATCCATTTTGAGTTGGTTTTTGTGTATGGTGTATGATAAGGGTTAAATTTCATTTTTTTTTTGCAAGTGGAAATCTAGTTTTCCGAGAACTACTCGTTGAAGAAACTGTGATTTCCCCATTTGTGGTCTTTTGGTGCCCTTTTTAAAAATCAGTTGAGTTCATATCTTTGAGCCCATTTCTGAGCTTTCTATTTTGTTCCACTGGTCTCAGTGTCTGTTTTTATACCAGCACCATTCTATTTTGATTACTATAGCTTTATATTATAATTTTAAATTAGGAAGTATTATGCCTGCAATTTTGTTTCTCTTTCTCCGAATTTCTTTGACTATTTAGGGTTTTTTGTGGTTCCACTTAGATTTTAGAATTTCTTTTTCCATTTCCACAAAGAATATCATTGGGGTTTTGATAGAGATTGTGTTGAAATTGCTTTGAGCAGTATAAATTTTTTTTTTTTTTGAGACTGAATCTCATTCTGTCACCCAGGCTGGAGTGCAGTGGCACGATCTCGGCTCACCACAACCTCCACCTCCTGGGTTCAAGCGATTCTCGTACCTCAGCACCACCCTGAGTTGCTGGGATTACAGGCGCCCACCACCATGTCTGGCTAATTTTTGCATTTTTTAGTAGAGACGGGGTTTCGTCAGGTTGACCAGGCTGGTTTTGAACTCCTCACCTGTGATCCATCTGCCTTGGCCTCCCAAATTGCTGGGATTACAGGCGTGAGCCACTGTTTCCAGCCAGTATGAACATTTTAATAATATTAATTTTCTCAATCCATGAGCTCTCTATGTGTTCCTATTCACAGAATGTAGCAATCTCTCTTCTAAGTATATACCCAAAGGAAAGAAATCATCACCTCGTAAAGATATCTGCACTCTTGTGTTCATAGCAGCATTACTCACAATAGTCAAGATATAAAAATAACCTAAGTTTCTGTTGTTAGATGAAGAGATAAAGATATCATAGTATATAAATTACAATGTAATATTATTCAGCTTCAAAAAAATAAAGCCTGTCATTTGCCACAATGTGGATGAACCTAGAGGACATTATCCAAAGTAAAATAATCCAGATATAGAACAAATTTTTTTTAGTTTTTTCCTTTTAATATTTTTTACATGATCTCACTTGTCAAAGGATACAAAGCAGATATGTAGAATCAACAAGTCTAAATAAAACATGAATACTATAGTTAATAATACTGTATTGTATTTGATATTTTTACTAAATGAGTAACTACTATTGGCACAAAAATGGATAATTATATGAGATGATTAATATATGTAAATTTGTTTCACTATAGTAACTATTTTACTATGTGTATTATATAACATCATATCTTAAATATATATAATAAAATTTATTTTAAAAAGAGAGAAATACAAATTTTGTTAAAATATCTGTGATTAAACACAGAGAACTGTATAACCAAGGACTGAATCCTAAACTATAAATTTAGGTAAAAATTGCCGAGACCAGATCGGTAGGGGAGACCCTAACCCAGCGGCGCTAGAGGAATTAAAGACACACACACAGAAATATAGGGGTGTGGAGTGGGAAATCAGGGGTCTCATAGCCTTCAGAGCTGAGAGCCTCGAACAGAGATTTATCCACGTGTTTATTGACGGTAAGTCAGTGATAAGCCTTGTTTCTATAGATTATAGATTAACTAAAAGTATTCCTTATGGGAAACAAAGGGATGGGCTGAAATAAAGGGATGAGTTTGGCTAGTTATCTGCAGCAGGAGCATGTCCTTAAGGTACAGATCGTTCATGCTGTTGTTTGTGGTTCAAGAACACCATTTAGTGGTTTTCACCCTGGTTAGGCCAGGTGTTCCTTGCCCTCATTCCGGTAAACACACAACCTTCCAGTGTAGGTGTTACGGCCATCACGAACATGTCACAATGCTGCAGAGATTTTGTTTAAGGCCAGTTTTGGGAACAGTTTATGGCCAGATTTTGGGGGGCCTGTTCCCAACAATAATAATAATATATCAGTATTGCCTGATCAGTCTTAACAAGCATCAGCCCTAACACTAATGCAAGGTATAATAAGGGGGGTATATGGGAACTCTCTGCACTCTCTGCTCAATTTTCTATAAACCTAAAACTGTTTTAAAAACAAATTATATTAATAAAACACACATACATGTAATTGTCAGTTAATCTAACAGTTTTAAGTGAAGATGTGTTCAACAGGGTGTATTTCCAAGTAAGTCACTAAAAAGAATCTTAAATAATATGCTGCATCTATCCCAGAAATTTAGAATTCATCAAAATGCATGTGATGCTGATAATACATATGATACTGATAATATATTTCTATCCCAGCACTAGATCAATTTTCCTCTTAGTATTTTTTTTGTAGTGAGGAGTCCCATGACTTTATGTTTAAAACAGCAACTGAATCATACTTATGAAAAAATCACAATGTAGAGCCAATTGTTCTTTGGAACAAAGGATCCTTATTGAGTTACACACTGACACTGAATAGTTTTTATCCCTTTCACATTTTTCCAGTACAATATTAGGCATTTAAATTAGTTTTATTCTTTTCCCTTTTGTTAGTATTTAAAACTGAAAGAGAAGTAAAACAAATGAATTGATTTTGTAAGGGCTAAGAAAACATTTAATTAAAATTATAAAATTGTTAGAAAGCTACTTTTACATAATACTACCATTAGTATTAAATTCTACAAACAGAAATCTTTTTATTTAATAAAGTATTGATTGCAACTGACTCCAAAAAAGTTATAAAGTTATCTTACACAGTTATGTTTTATTATCAATACAGCTAAAACAGAAATAATAAATGCATAAGTAGCTTAGAAACTATAAGCAATTGATATAGACTTCAGAGGTTTAGAATAACATAAACATAATATAAAAAAAAATTTATATGACCATCAATGAAAATATGAACTTGTTTTGAGTATGAAAACAAAAAACTAAAATCTGTATTGGTTAGGTGGAAAAAAATAGGCCTTAAACCCTCAGTAATCATCATGTATATATATGCCTGGGTGGCTGTATACTTCTTGAATGACATTTAACTCCATAGAATAAAAGCAGCTATAAGTAAAAAAGGTTACATTCTACATTTTCATTAATAATTAATATGAAAATTAAAATTTAGAATATATGACATTGCCAATCAACATGTATCCTTTAGAACCACACTTTGTTACATAGCTCACAGTTCACCTTAATCAAAACAGAGAATATCAACTTTTATTAGACTCTATAATTCCTTGAGCTAAGGAGACTTTAGAAAATTACTCTATTGGGGAAATAGCTTTATCATTCTGCTGGTTACCTAACTAATGAGTTAAATTAATGTTGGAAACAAATAAGCTTAAGTTTGTATGACAACCAGATTTTTAACTTTGTGTTTGTTTATGCATAGAATTTTTTTTCTCTTTTTCTTTTCTTTTTTTTTTTTTGAGACGGAGTCTCACTCTTGTCACCCAGGCTGGAGTGCAGTGATGCGATCTCGGCTCACTGCAACCTCCGTCTCCTGGGTTCAAGCAGTTCTCCTACCTCAGCCTCCTGAGTAGCTAGGATTACAGGCACCTGCCACCACACCCAGCTAATTTTTGCATTTTTATTAGAGATGGAGTTTCAGCACGTTAGCCAGGCTGGTCTCGAACTCCTGAACTCAGGTGATCCACCCACCTCGGCCTCCCAAAGTGCTGGGATTACAGGCTTGAGCCACCGTGCCCGGCCTATGCAAGGAATTCCTTTGGTGTTTTGAAAATTCCACCGTTCTCTTCTCTATTTCTATGACTTTGACTTTAGTAGATTATATATGTAAGTGAGATCACATAGTTTTTGCCCTTTTGCACCTGGCTTGTTTCATTTAGCATAATATCTTCCAGGTTAATTAATAATAATATGTTGCATATTTTATAATTGCCTAAGGATTAGACTTTAACAGTCCACAAAAAATTGATAAGTATATCAGGTGATAGATATGTTAGCTTGATTTAGTCATTCCACAGGCTCAATATATATCAAAATATCACATTGTAACCCACAGATAGATATATATATTATCTCTCTATATAAAATATATATAAAATCTGTAAATTAAAAATTACATTGCATTGCATTACCTTACATTAAAATTTTCACCAGCTGAGCCACAAGAAGAATATAAGCTTAGTCAGCCAGCACAGTCTCCAAGTTATCCTAACCCTGGTGTCAGAGTAAGTTGAAAGAGCCTCCAGATGATTTCAGCTCCTAGCTTTCAAGTCATCTACAAACTTTAATTCTTCTTATCTCCACACATAATAGAAAAAAAAAAAAGAAGCCATACCCACTATTCCCCATCCCAATCTCTGAAACACAGAATTAATGAAAATAATACAATTTTTGTTTTAAAATCACTATATTGTGGCCTGTGAGCTTACAAATGATACAGGCCCTGTTTCTCACATAGTGCAAATAAGATGTTCTTCTAACTCTAGATTATGAAGTATTTTAAAATGAATGATCTCTATTTTTGTCAGTTTATTGAGACTAATAAGCTAGCTAAATGTAATATAAAGAAAGAGATAAATATCACCACTAACCCCCACCAAAGAAGAATAACAATACTGAAATATACTTTTAAAGGTATAAAACAGAGCAAAAGCCGTCTCTAGCTCTGAATAATATTTATATCAGAATTCAAGTTCACATATTCTATGTGAATCCTTGGAAAAATTAAACAAATTTGATAATTGAGGTTTTTAAAAATATCTGTATGTCTTTTTCCTTTTTTAAAATTAGACTGTATATTTTCTTCATGAAATTTGTGCTTGTGTTTTTGTGATTAGGATAATCTGACTAATCTAAATTTCTCATACTCAATTATAGATCAGATAATCTAATGCTAATATTATCTATTTCTAAAATTAATAATCATGTAAATTATATTAATTTATATTGAATTACCATTTTGAAAATTATATTAACAGTGATTTTATACTACTGTGTTTCAGTGTAAATATAACTTATCAGAGTCCTAACTGACTTTAAGACCTTGATTATTGTTTTTAAGCTTAATATTCTAAAATTTGACTTTGTCTTCCTATTTCAAATACCTTTCTGACATAATGATAAAATATATTATTTATCATTCAGTTGTATTTATTAATTTAAATTTACTAAGTCTTTAAGATTTGATTAATCAATTAACCTCATATTTTTATAGAAGGAACAATTTTTTAAATTTAATAGTAAAGGGATTTTATTTAAAAACATAGCAAAATAGGTTAGAATAATGGTTTGGATTTTGAAAACGTTCTACACTGGATCTCATTCCAAAATTATATATGCTTAATATGTAGAAAAACTATAGTATACAATTCATCTAAATCAAATCGAAGAACAGTATAAATAAACTTTTTTCAAAGTTTACCACAAAATATAAGATTAATGACACCTTCTTTAACACTAATCCAAAATAATATAAATAAAATTGAAATAATATTTGAGGAGGATAAATATTATAGCCATAATTTTTTCAGTACATACTCACTATGACTTATTTGCTAAGTTGAATGAAAATAATTTAATACTCATACTATGTAAAGCCATTAACTAAAACCAATATAAATAAATCAAACAAATACATGTGTATAGGTATTTTTATACTTATGAAATTTAGACTGTAATTTAACTTCATATATGTCTTACAATTTTTATTTTATTTTTTTCTAATTTGGTATATTTGGCAATATAGGAAAGTGTTTCTATCTACTATGAAAACTGAATTCAAGATTCACAGTGTTTTAGTTGGCCCACAAATATAATGTTTCATGTTTATTTCCTTTTAGTTTTACCTTTAATTAGTTAATTGAAGATTCAAGTCATGTAGTACCAAAAAGAAATCAGAAGAACAATTTTATATTATCAGTATGCTTTGGGATATATATTAGTTTAGCATCTGTGATGGTTAATTTTAGGTGTCAAATTGACTGTATTAAAGAACACCTAGAGACTTGATTGATTGAATGTGATTCTGAGTGGACTTGGTGGGGAAGATCCACCCTCAATGAGGGGATGCACCATTCAATCTGCTGGGGGCCTAGAGAGAACAAAAGCAGAGAAAAGGCAAATGTTTCCATCTTTCTGCTGGAATTAGGATACACTCTTGCTCTCTTGTCTTTGAACAGTAACTACAGGCTCTCCAGCCTTTGGACTCCAGGACTTATCAGTAGAAGCCCGCTAGGTTATCAGGGCTTTGGTCTCAGATTGAGTTACACCATTGGCTTTCTTGGTTCTGAGACATTCATACTAAGACTGAGCCACCTCCTGGCATCCCAGGGTCTCCGGCTTGCAGATGTCTGGTCCTGGGACTTCTCAACCTTCATTATTGTTGTGTGAACCAATTCTCCTAAAAAATTTCCTCTCAACCATCTATCATCTATCTACCTATCTGTCTGTTTATCTATTTTCTCTCTCTCTCTCTCTCTCCCTCTCTCTCTCTCTCTCTCTCTCTCTCTCTCTCACTGGTTCCATCTTTCTGGAGAACTGTAATTACAGCATTGATTATTAATTATCCATTCATTTAGTAAGTATAATTGAGCATCTACCATATTTTGGTCATATTAAAATAATTTATAATTAACCAGGAAATAAAAGAGACAAAGACTCCTGCACTGCTTTGGTTTAGACTATATAACATCCATACTTTGTATGGAGAAGCTACAAAAGTCAACTTATTCCCCTTGAAAACTGGCAAAAGACAAGGATGCCCTTTCTCAACACTTTTATTCAACATAGTATTGGAAGTTCTGGCCAGGGCAATCAGGCAAGAGAAATAAATAAAGGGTATACGAATAGGAAGAGAGGAAGTCAAATGGTCTCTGTTTACAGATGACATAATTGTGTATTTAGAAAACCCCGTCGTCTCAGCCCCAAATCTCCTTAAACTGATAAACAACTTCAGCAAAGTCTCAGGATAGAAAATCAATGTGCAAAAATCACAAGCATTCCTATACATCAATAATAGACAAGCAGAGAGCCAAATCATGAGTTAACTCCCATTCACAATTGCTACAAAGAGAATAAAATACCTAGGAATACAACTTACAAGGGACATGAAGAACCTCTTTAAGGAGAACTACAAACCACTGCTCAAGGAAATAAAAGAGGACACAAACAAATGAAAGATATTCCATGCTCATGGATAGGAAGAATCAATATTGTGAAAATGGCCACACTGCCCAAAGTAATTTATAGATTCAGTGCTGTTTTCATCAAGCTACCATTGACTTTCTTCACAGAACTAGAAAAAAACTGCTTTAAATTTCATATGGAACCAAAAACGATCTCCTATAGCCAAGACAATCCTAAGCAAAAAGAAGAAAGCTGGAGGCATCACGCTACCTGACTTTCTACTACGAGGCTACAGTAGCAAAAACAACATGGTACTGATACAAAAAAAGATATATAGATCAATGGAACTAAATAGAGGCCTCAGAAAAAAAACACCACACATCTACAACCATCTGATCTTTGACAAATCTGACAAAAACAAGCAATGGGGTGAAGGATTCCCTATTTAATAAATGGTGCTGGGAAAACTGGCTAGCCATATGGAGAATACTGAAACTGGACCCCTTCCTTACACCTTATACAAAAATTAACTCAAGACGGATTAAACACTTAAACATAAAACCTAAAACAATAAAAACTCTAGAAGAAAACCTAGCCAATACCATTCAGGACATGTGAATGGGCAAATACTTCATGACTAAAACAGCAAAAGCAATTGCAACAAAAGCCAAAATCTAATTAAACTAAAGAGCCTCTGCACAGCAAAAGAAACTATCAGAGTGAACAGGCAATTTACAGAATGGGGAGAAAATTTCTGCAATCCATCCATCTGACCAGGGTCTAATATACAGAATCTACAAGGAACTTAAACAAATTTACATGAAAAAAAAAAAACCCCATCAAAAAGCTGGCAAGGGATATGAACAGATACTTCTCAAAAGAAGACATTTATGCAGCCAACAAATAAATGAAAAAAAGCTCATCATCACTGGTCATTAGAGAAATGCAAATCAAAACCACAATGAGATGCCATCTCACGCCAGTTAGAATGGCGATCATTAAAAAGTCAAGAAACAGGCCGGCGCGGTGGCTCACGCCTGTAATGCCAACACTTTGGGAGGCCGAGGCAGGCGGATCACGAGGTCAGGAGATCGAGAAGTATCCTGGCTAACACGGTGAAACCCCGTCTCTACTAAAAAATACAAAAAATTAGCCAGGCTTGGTGGCGGGCGCCTGTAGTCCTAGCTACTTGGGAGGCTGAGGTAGGAGAAAGGCGTGAACCCAGGAGGCACAGCTTGCAGTGAGCCGAGATCAGGCCACTGCACTCCAGCTTGGGCGACAGAACGAGACTCCATCTCAAAAAAAAAAAAAAAAAAAAAATCAAAAACAACAGATGCTGGAGAGGATGTGGAGAAATAGAAACACTTTTACACTGTTGGTGGGAGTGTAAATTAGTTCAACCATTGTGGAAGACAGTGTGGTGATTCCTCCAGGATCTAGAACTAGAAATACCATTTGACCCAGCAATCCTGTTACTGGGTATATACCTAAAGGATTAAAAATCATTCTACAATAAGGACACATGCACACGTATGTTTATTGCGGCACTATTCACAATAGCAAAGGCTTGAAACTAACCCAAATGCCCATCAATGATAGACTGGATAAAGAAAATGTGGCACACATACACCATGGAATACCATGCAGCCATAAAAAAGGATGAGTTCATGTCCTTTGCAGGGACATGGATGAAGCTGGAAACCATCATCCTCAGCAAACTAACACAGGAACAGAAAATCAAACACCGCATGTTCTCACTCATAAGTGGGAGTTGAACAATGAGAACACGTGGACAAAGGGAGGGGAACAACATGCACCTGGGCCTGTGAGGGGATCAGGAGCAAGGGGAGGGAGAGCATTAAGACAAATACCTAATGCATGCGGGGCTTAAAAGCTAGATGACAGGTTGATAGGTGCAACAACCACCATGGCACATGTATACCTATGTAAAAAACCTGCACGTTCTGCACATGTATCCCAGAACTTAAAGTTAAAAAAAAAAAAGTCATTAGCACTACAGAAAAAATAACTTCATTTAAGACTATTCTGAATTTAGATTGTGCCATATATCCTGCCTCTGGTACTACCAATACTTTTTTGAAGGTTCAGTCTTAAATACGCTGCATAAAATCACATATGCCTGCCTGCAAGCATTTTCATGGATACTCTAGTCATCTTTTTTTATACCAATGCAGCCAATTATTTAGTCTTTATTAAAAAATTTATACAGTATTTTCCAATTTAATCCTCCATTCTTCTGTTGCCTTTCCACTTTCTTTCCATTAATTATTATTTGAAACCTCACACTTTCAATGATTTTCATAATGACATTTGATATGTTGGGAAGAATGTTTCATTCCTACATGCTATTGAGAGAGATATTCATAATGTATTGGATAGAATATTAAACAAAGAATAGTTTTGTTCTGAGTAAATTAAGAAAATCATATTTTATTTTAAAAAATCAATTTATGTGCTTGAAAATCATTGATGTAAACCAAAACCAAAACATTTTTTGTCATTAATATCAGTGATACTTTGGTTTCAATCCTATTAAGATGGATACTTGTATAACTGTGGTGTAATTAGTCTACTAAATGTTACTTTTCTTATGAAGAAATGACAACTTTCTCTGTCCTCTCTTTCTATGTTGAAACTAATTTATAAACATATAGGCATATGGGCCTACTTCATCACACTAGTTCTCCATATACCCTCATATGTCATTTTGTGCCTCAGTATGGGTATTTGCTTCATAAATTACAACATCCTTCCAAAATATTTGGCTTGAATGATTGTTTTGACAGTTTTCCAATGAACTTTTGTTATAAATTATTGTTTCACAAATATATTACTTTTACAGATTTGTTCAGTGACCATGACCTGTGTGACTTTATCTATCCAATTATCAAACTGAAAATTTGCTGTAACAGTTCGATATTTTACAGTGTAACCTCCCAAGATACGTGAAAATAGAACACAGGTCTCCATATTTTCTCTTGGAGATTCTTATATCTAGCTGCCACAATAGTTTCCGATGTGACACGGTTTTTATTCCCTGCATATATCAAACACAAGACTCAATGCACTAAAACAAACAAACAAACACGTTACTAGCCAGGAGCAGTGGCTCACGCCTGTAATCTCAGGACTTTGGGAGGTCGAGGTGGATGGATCACGAGGTCAGGAGATCGAGACCATCCTGGCCAACATGGTGAACCACCCCCCTTCCCCCACTAAAAATACAAAAATTAGCTGGGGGTGGTGGTGCATGCTTGTAATTCCAGCTACTTGGGAGGCTGAGGCAGGAGAATTGTTGAACCCGGGAGACAGAGGTTGCAGCGAGCCGAGATCACGCCACTGCATTCCAGCCTGGCGACAGAACGAGACTCCAAACTCTGTCTCAAAAACAAACAAACAACAACAAAAAAAACCTTTACTATAATACAGTGTTTGTTTTATAAAATCATTTGATAAAACTTCATTTACAGACAGAATTATGAGCTTAAGTAAGATGTTACATGGATCCTTCAGCAATCTAATTTAACATGACAAACAAAAGGTTACTTTCATGGAGAATGAGAGAAGTTTTCATGCCTCTCCTCTAATTTCCACAAATTTCTAAGAATTTCTTTTTATTTCTATAACATCGTATAGTATTTAGAAGTCTTTATTGAATTGTTTGGTTTGAGATTTACAGTATATTTATAAGATATAAAAAAGGATTACTTGTATTTTGTAGATGACAAAATTATACCTCAGATTTTCTTTAACCAATGTAACTATTTAGGAGTATCTAGGCTATTTAATTCCATATGCCTTTTAAAATAATATTATATATCTTTTTAGCTTAATCCAATATTTGATTAGCTATTGTCAAAAACAAAAAATAAACTTTTTACTATAAAAAAGAGATTTCAGGTGGTAGGGGGCAAGGAGAGGAAGAGCATTAGGACAAATATCTAATGCATGCAGGGCTTAAAACCTAGATGGTGGGTTGATAGGTGCAGCAAACCATCATGGCACACGTATATCTATGTAACAAACCTGCACGTTCTGCACAGGTATCCCAGAACTTAAAGTAAAATTTAAAAAATGATAAAATAAAATATGTGATTGAGTAATTAAAAAAATGGACAAGAGACAAAGGCAAGTTAAGAGAAAGAGGGGGAGAGAGTTCAAACCAATGGGGTAAAATGTTGACTATAGCTGAATGTGGGTAAGGGTATTGCATGACTTTTTCTTTGTCAACTTTCTGTGAGTGTGAAATTATTTACAAGTAAAAAGTTAAAAAAAATAAGCTATTGTAACAAAAGAGCATTTTTTCCTTGTTTAAACATTTTAAAAGTGCATTTTAAATGACATAAAATTAAAACTGAGATCTGATACATCAGTTAGATTGAGTTTTTAATACCATCTAAACTTTTTCTGCAATGAAATTTAAAGTGAAGTATATACGTTCAATGGAGATTCTCTTATTTTCTTTTTTTTTCTCAGAATACTTCTAATTTTATTATTATTATTATTATTATACTTTAAGTTTTAGGGTACATGTGCACAATGTGCAGGTTAGTTACATATGTATACATGTGCCATGCTGGTGTGCTGCACCCATTAACTCATCATTTAGCATTAGGTATATCTCCTAATGCTATCCCTACCCCTCCCCCCACCCCACAACAGTCCCCAGAGTGTGATGTTCCCCTTCCTGTGTCCATGTGTTCTCATTGTTCAATTCCCACCTATGAGTGAGAACATGCAGTGTTTGGTTTTTTGTCCGTGCGATAGTTTACTGAGAATGATGATTTCCAATGTCATCCATGTCCCTACAAAGGACATGAACTCATCATTTTTTATGGCTATATAGTATTCCATGGTGTATATGTGCCACATTTTCTTAATCCAGTCTATCATTGTTGGACATTTGGGTTGGTTCCAAGTCTTTACTATTGTGAATAGTGCCACAATAAACATACGTGTGCATGTGTCTTTATAGCAGCATGATTTATAGTCCTTTGGGTATATACCCAGTAATGGGATGGCTGGATCAAATGGTATTTCACGTTTTAGATCCCTGAGGAATCGCCACACTGACTTCCACAATGGTTGAACTAATTTACAGTCCCACCAACAGTGTAAAAGTGTTCCTATTTCTCCACATCCTCTCCAGCACTTGTTGTTTCCTGACTTTTTAATGATTGCCATTCTAACTGGTGTGAGATGGTATCTCATTGTGGTTTTGATTTGCATTTCTCTGATGGCCAGTGATGGTGAGCATTTTTTCATGTGTTTTTTGGCTGCATAAACGTCTTCTTTTGAGAAGTGTCTGTTCATGTCCTTCGCCCACTTTTTGATGGGGTTGTTTGTTTTTTTCTTGTAATTCTGTTTGAGTTCATTGTAGATGCTGGATATTAGCCCTTTGTCAGATGAGTAGGTTGCGAAAATTTTCTCCCATTTTGTAGGTTGCCTGTTCACTCTGATGGTAGTTTCTTTTGCTGTGCAGAAACTCTTTAGTTTAATTAGATCTCATTTGTCAATTTTGGCTTTTGTTGCCATTGCTTTTGGTGTTTTAGACATGAAGTCCTTTCCCATGCCTATGTCCTGAATGGTAATGCCTAGGTTTTCTTTTAGGGTTTTTACAGTTTTAGGTCTAACATTTAAGTCTTTAATCCATCTTGAATTAATTTTTGTATAAGGTGTAAGGAAGGGATCCAGTTTCAGCTTTCTACATATGGCTAGCCAGTTTTCCCAGCACTATTCATTAAATAGGGAATACTTTCCCCATTGCTTATTATTCTCAGGTTTGTCAGAGACCAGATAGTTGTAGATATGCGGCATTATTTCTGAGGGCTCTGTTCTGTTCCATTGATCTATATCTCTGTTTTGGTACCAGTAGCGTGCTGTTTTGGTTACTGTAGCCTTGTGGTATAGTTTGAAGTCAGGTAGTGTGATGCCTCCAGCTTTGTTCTTTTGGCTTAGGATTGACTTGGTGATGCGGGCTCTTTTTGGTTCCATATGAACTTTAAAGTAGTTTTTTCCAATTCTGTGAAGAAAGGCATTGGTAGCTTGATGGGGATGGCATTGAATCTGTAAATTACCTTGGGCAGTATGGCCATTTTCACGATATTGATTCTTCCTACCCATGAGCATGGAATGTTCTTCCATTTCTTTGTATCCTCTTTTATTTCAGTGAGCAGTGGTTTGTAGTTCTCCTTGAAGAGGTCCCTCACATCCCTTGTAAGTTGGATTCCTAGGTATTTTATTCTCTTCGAAGCAATTGTGAATGGGAGTTCACTCATGATTTGGCTCTCTGTTTGTCTGTTATTGGTGTGTAAGAATGCTTGTGATTTTTGTATGTTGATTTTGTATCCTGAGACTTTGCTGAAGTTGCTTATCAGCTTAAGAAGATTTTGGGCTGAGACAATGGGGTTTTCTAGATATACAATCATGTCATCTGCAAACAGGGACAATTTGACTTCCTCTTTTCCTAATTGAATACCCTTTATTTCCTTCTCCCACCTAATTGTCCTGGCCAGAACTTCCAACACTATGTTGAATAGGAGTGGTGAGAGAGGGCATCCCTGTCTAGTGCCAGTTTTCAAAGGGAATGCTTCCAGTTTTTGCCCATTCAGTATGATATTGGCTGTGGGTTTGTCATAGATAGCTCTTATTATTTTGAGATACGTTCCATCAATACCTAATTTATTGAGAGTTTTTAGCATGAAGCATTGTTGAATTTTGTCAAAGGCCTTTTCTGCATCTATTGAAATAACCATAGCAGTGTGTAGACGGAAATTTATAGCACTAAATGCCCACAAGAGAAAGCAGGAAAGATCCAAAACTGACACCCTAACATCACAATTAAAAGAACTAGAAAAGCAAGAGCAAACACATTCAAAAGCTAGCAGAAGGCAAGAAATAGCTAAAATCAGAGCAGAACTGAAGGAAATAGAGACACAAAAAACCCTTCAAAAAATTAATGAATCCAGGAGCTGATTTTTTGAAAGCATCAACAAAATTGATAGACCACTAGCAAGACTAATAAAGGAAAAAAGACAGAAGAATCAAATAGATGCAAAAAAAATGATAAAAGGGGATATCACCACGGATCCCACAGAAATACAAACTACCATCAGAGAATACTACAAACACCTCTACACAAATGAACTAGAAAATCTAGAAGAAATGGATAAATTCCTTGACACATACACCCTCCCAAGACTAAACCAGGAAGAAGTTGACTCTCTGAATAGACCAATAACAGGCTCTGAAATTGTGGCAATAATCAATAGCTTACCAACCAAAAAGAGTCCAGGACCAGATGGATTCACAGCCGAATTCTACCAGAGGTACAAGGAGAAACTGGTACCATTCCTTCTGAAACTATTCCAATCAATAGAAAAAGAGGGAATCCTCCCTAACTCATTTTATGAGGCCAGCATCATCCTGATACCAAAGCCTGGCAGAGGCACAACCAAAAAAGAGAATCTTAGACCAATATCCTTGATGAACGTTGATGCAAAAATCCTCTATAAAATAGTGGCAAACCGAATCCAGCAGCACATCAAAAAGCTTATCCACCATGATCAAGTGGGCTTCATCCCTGGGATGCAAGGTTGGTTCAATATACGCAAATCAATAAATGTAATCCAGCATATAAACAGAACCAAAGACAAAAACCACATGAGATTCTCTTATTTTCTATGTGGCAATAATGTTTTATAAATTATTATATAAAATATTTTATAGTTCCATAAGTTTAAAACATTGATTTCATCCTAACATAGAATTCATTAAATGCCCTGATATAAATATTTAAGTCAAAGAACTACCAATTTTCAAAATATGTCAGATGATATATTTTTTCTTTTCTTTTTTACAAAAATTATTATTATTATTATTTTTAAGTCTCAGTGTAGGATGTGCAAGTTTGTTACATAGGTAAATGTGTGCTATGCAACCCCTAAAAATTAAAACGTTAAAAATATGAAGTTATCCTAAAATGTTTTTAAATTTATTATGAATAGTACTTCTAATATCATTTTAAAACTTTCTAAAATAGTTTTTACATCGATTATTTAAATTTACCATGTTTTTGACAGTTTAGAAGTCCAAAACAACTAATAGATAAAATTAAACCTATTATTACATGTTTACATGTTTGTTATAAATTATTACATATTTGAAAAAAATCACTAGAAGAATTCTTTTTAAAAATATTGTTTTTCTTAATATGGATATATATAATCATTTTCATTTAATACTATGTGTATATATGTGGATTAACAGTATTAACTGGAGACAATAAAAAGGAGCGTTACAGAGAGTTGCACACCAGACATATTTTTTATTTCTATATCAGTATTCTTCGGGAATATACTATACAAAATTATAAAGATTGTTAGGACATGAGATTACGAATATCTGGCACGTATCTCCAAGATAGTTTATCTAAATTTTCATAAAAAAAATGACTTGAAGGTCCATAATTTCAATTTTAAAAATCAAGAATATTGAGCTAAAATATGCACAAAATTTTATACTAAACAAGATTTTACAATGCTTTAATTTTTATATGTGCAAATATAATGAATCACCTCACATTTTTGAGCTCCAAGTGAAAATAATACATTCTATTCTATACAGTGAATATAGCAACATACTTTAAAACTGTTGAGAAAGGGTAATCCATATCCTGAATTTGTTAAATACTCATAATTTGCTGAGAAACTCTGATACTTTGAATCATGATTTACGATTGGTCAGTCTCTCGAAAAAACAAAACAAAACAAAATTATTTTCCAAACAAAAGTTTTCTAAAAAACACAGACTATCAAGTTAATCAGGAAACATTTCATGGTCACAAATCCTAATTTCTAAATAACATTACTCAGTCACATTCTTTTCACTTTACTGCATACAGTGAAGCTGAAAATTTTTGTTATGAAATATAACAATGAATGAGAAAGAGAGAATGTTGCCTACATTTCTTCAATTGTAACTGCATTGAAATTACTTCCAAAAACTGTGCCAATGAACTCTAAAGTATAGCTTCCAATACTATAATTAAAAGCATATTCATTATTTAAAAATTGACTTTGTAGTAATTACAGAGAATTGCACAATTAGTGAAAAGTAACAATAAAAAGAAACTTGGTGTGCTCATTATCCAGATTCATCAAGTAATATTTTGCTATATTTGTTATAGTATTTTATGTTTCTCTTTCTGTATGCACATGCCCACACACCCACACCCACACACATATATATGCTTTGACCCATTTCACAGTGGGTTGAATATCTGATGCCATTTTACCTCTAGATACTTCAATAGTTTTTTTCCCACAAAATGGATATATTCTTAATTAACCATATACAATTATTGAATTCACAAAATTTAACATTTATACAAACTATTATTTAGTTTATAATATATATTCACATTTCTCCAACTGTCCCAATTTTGAAGTTAAATTTGTAGGGAAAATAGCTGAAACCTTTCACTGGGTTTGACCAGTTGCCTAAACAGACGTCTCTTTATTCCATTTCAAATATATAATTTCTTCTTTGACATTTACCTTAAAATATGACAGTTAAATCCCTTAGGTCTACAGAACACATACTGATTACTTGAAAAAATATGTGATCTTACCTTACAGGAATTTCTACCTTGGTCCATGTAGCTCCTTTGGAATCTTCATAGAATTAGGCTTCTTGTTCCTAACCACCCCTCTGCACAATGAATTCTCATTATAATCAATTGCTGTGGCTTATAATTTCCCACAACATCATATATTTGCATAATGAAGATGTCGATAATACCAAGGCACAGGTTAAAGACTTTTCATCAGTATCAAAAGGAGAGAAAATTTTTCTGATGAAATTTGAAAAGCTGAGAGTTACTTGAAAATGACAAAAACTTGAAGCTACTAGGGCCATCTCAGTCTTAGACTGAAAGTTGATATTTTTTTTATATTTCTGATCAGAGAAAAGCTTCCTGTCTTATATTGATAAAGGGAGCAATAGCTACTACAGAAAAAAAGTAAGACATGTTCTGCTGAAGTGAGGCTTTTAGGTTAATCCAAGTAATGGACCGGACAGCAACATTTACTCTGGAGTAAGTGTTTTCTTTACCACATAGTTAGCTAATTTAAATGAACTGAATACTTAATTGGCTATCTTGAAAAGGTAATCTTAGCACTCCTAAGGGTAAAGTATATTATCTTGAGTCAACATGGCTAAACTATTGTCATTAATTTACCTTTAAATTAACTTATTGCCTGTATATTTACTGTATTTTATTGCATTTGAAATCATCACCATCAAACTTGTGTCTCAATCCAGAGATTATGTTTGTTTACAATTATTTTTCATCCTGTGAATCCAGCTACTAAAATAATTTTTTAAGCTTCTAAATATTCTGACAAAGCTACCTATATCTCACTTTTCCTGTTGCTACTGATACAAATCAAATCCTCACTATTCCTAACATGGAAAACTTCCTACTTCCAGTCTAAGGCCATTTCAGTTAGTCTTCCCTAATAATGCCAAAGTGATCTTTATAAAACACTTATTCTTTTTTTCTGATCAAAGTAATATAAGAACATTCCATAGTTTCAGAAAAAATGTCCTCAGCATGTAATCCATTTTCCAACTGTTTCTTCAAGCATGATTTCCTCTCTCAACACCTCTATGTTCTAACCATGCTGAACATAGTCCCCAAAGGCAAATGGATGTCCCATGGCTTTTAGTAACCAATTTTTATTTTTGTAGTTTATTTGTTTGCTTTGATATTTCCAAAAGAATCCCCTCCAGCCATCCTTTCCACCTACCCACTCAAAGCAATAAAAAGATAAGTGCCTGTAAAGCTATGAAGACTGGAATCCAAATTTTCTTTCTACCTTTTTGAAATTACAACAATTTTAAAAATTACTCAATATTCCTTATATCCACTTCCTCACCTAAAATATTTTAAGTAATATCTCTCTCAAAAAGGTGTTGTTACTACAAAATAAAATAGGACATGGGATGGTGGTACTTTAAAATTCTTAATTGAATCTTCATCTTTGACTTAAATGCCCGCTTTTTATCTCCACATAGATATGCAATGGACATCTCTAACTCAGCAAACTTTAGAGTTAATTGGTCCTCACATCCAGTTCTTCAAGTCAAAAAATTGCCTTTACTTTACACCACTCAATTCTCTATCCTTCAGTAAGTTATTTCAATTCTAACTAAAACAAACCTTGCAAATATGTCTGCATCTTTTAATCTTCACTCTCCTTACTTTAGCCCACACTAAAGTTATCTGCCCAATACTTTCCAAATAAGTCATTTGCCATGGTTGCACCCTTACATAGCTCTCCACCCACCATACACTTGAACCTTCAATGGAAGATCAGATCTCTTTTCCCACTCCTGGACTTTCTGTCACACGTAGTAAAAGTTTCTAAGCTTTGCCTTACCCTACAAAGGGCCTTAGAGTCTGGCCTTTCTGTGAAAATGACATCATGTGTTTCTCCTTTTCTTGCCATGCATCAGCCAGTCTAGCTCTTCTTTCTGCTCTCAAAGTTGACCAAGCTCCTTTCTACTTCAAGGGGGCTTTATCATATATCAGTTAGCTAAACTGATGGACTCTTTTGTAAAATAATCCTTGACATTAAAAAAATTACTTTTGTTTGAGTAATAGTCATATATCCTACTGGACTTAAAACATTAGTGATCTGCTTGTGTAGCTCATTTCTGAGAATCCCAGCACACAACAGTGTCTGGCAAATCTCGTATCCTCAAACTGTGTTATTTATGTTTTTGAGCTATGCATTCTTTAAGAATTTTCTCAAATGCTAACTTTTCCATAACTGTTCTTTACATTCTCTCCATTCTCCTGTACTGATCTCTGCATTCCTCAATTGAATATTTAACACATTATTGTTTTTGTTTGATTTTTCTAGTTTCTAAACATTACTTGAATAGAAAAATCTATGGCTTTAATTTTATTTTACTGGGAGCTACTGCAGCCATTAACAAATTATTAAGAAGTCAAATAATGAATTATCTTTTAATAGTAAAAAACATTGTTGAATAATAGATTTTATTCAATTATTTGTGTCACTGTATTAATAGCTTTAAAGAAACTTTGCTTAACTTAGTTCCATAGAGGAATGTATAAACAAAGGGAATAGAGAATATTATACTGGTATATCAATTATATACTTTAAGAGTCAAAGTGCTGTGGACACTGTTTTGAAGGATTTTAGAATCTCAATTGTATAGATGAGAAGCTATACAAAACACACTCCACATTCTTACAGGCCTGCTTAAGACAATCTCTTACAGATACTTTCAGCTAGATGTGAAAGCCTCTAACATTCTTGTTTTCTGGAGAGACTTTGAATGGGAAGTTTTATTTTAGAAGTAAGGAAGCCCTGACCTCTTTAGTGTAGTATAGTGTAAGTACTTACATTTATTACTGGTTAATTTACATATACATTCATTTCATTTTCTGGTACTATTTTATGTAAACTGAAATGTAGCAGGAGATAATAAACTTAGAATATCCTTTTTATTTATTTTTTTTTAAGATTGTCTTGCTTCTGTGTCACAGCCAGTCGAAACTTTGAACTGTCTGCCTGGAATCTCCTTAGCCCCACAAATCTATCAGTTTCCCTTTCTATATTTTCTGTAACCGCAGTTTATGGTTTTTTTAATTGTTCTTCCAGTACACTCTTGATCCTCTTTCCTCCAACTTGCAGTAACTGACTGCTTATTGTTCTTCAAATCTTCACCATCTCTTTGAGACCAACCACCTGTTCCAAAAGTCAGTGCAGTATAGTTCAGATTTTTTTTTTTCTTTAATGGCAGCACCCTGCTTCTATGTACCAAACACTGTTTCAGTTACCTGTTGCTATTATATCTCATAGTTTCATCGGTTAGCTGGGTCTCAGCAGGGCAGTTCCTTTACTGGTCACTCTTGGAGTCTCTTACACAGACTGAGTTGGCGACTGCACCATAGCTGGTGCCAAATGCCTGCTGCCTTGTCCCTTCTCTTTCTGGACTCGCTGTCCATTATTTTCTAGGGCTTCTCCACATAGCTTTTTAATCTCTCCAAAAAGAAGCCTAGACTTCATACAAGGTGCCTCAGAACAATAAGAAAAACTGTTCCTAGAGTGACTATTGCAAAAAGACACAGGAATGTCTAAGGCAATTAAGAACTGGACTCCAAAACGGCACAGTATCAAACCTACTATATTCTATTGTTGCAACAGACTAGAATCAAGATGATAGGAGACCACACAATGTTACGAACACTGGGAAATTCATTGGGGTAACTTCGGTAACAGCCACGATACTTGCTATTATTATTATTTTTTTTTCTCAACCAGGATTGGCTAGTTTGAATATGATTTTACAAGCTGAATACATAGAGCTGTATTTTTGAATTATTTTGAAAAGGGAAAAAAAACTTAAAAGAAAGAGAAATATGGAAAAGAGGGATAAAAGTAAGGAAAGCGAAAGGTTAAAATAGTCCTTTGTAGTTGTTGCTGGCAGCAATCAATAAAAGATAAAGTTGGGTGGTGAAAATTTTCTCACGATATATGAGCAGCTAGGAAAAATTTCACCACCAAATTTTTAATGCCAAAACTGGTGAGACAAGGCAATTATTGAGTGGGAGTGGGAGTAGGCTGCAGAATGAAATAAGTAGGGTGCAAAAAAGGTAACATAATTGGTACCTTATAGAAGGCCATTCAAAATGTAAACGCTTTAGGAAAGCAAAATAACACATCATTATCACAAAATGTGAGAAAAAATGACTGTATGGTGACTTTTTTATAACTGTAACCAGAAATGACATATGTGAAAATAATAAGGGATTCCTGCATGGATAATAAATGACCTGTTAAATAGTAGTTCTAACTACTTGTAATATTTGAATTTATTTGGCTACAGTGGCATTCAGATTTTGCGTATCTATAATTGTTTAAAAAATGTCAAAACATGTCTTGAAATACTTTGAATCTAAAAATAATTCTGTTGACAGAAGTTAAAAACTACAGGAAGTCTTACAGTTCCGTCAGGAAAAAAATATGATTTTTTCATAATTCTGCACTTAGAACATTTTGACAATTCCAATTTCTGGATCTTACAGAACACTTGACTTAATTCCATGTTTAAGGGAACCTATGTTTTCAAGCATTTTAGTTGAAACACAGCTAAAGCTGAGGGCAATATTTTCTCCCACAATCCTTAGCCCACTTTAGGTGTTCTTAGTTAGAAGTACATTCCTAAATGTCTCATTTTTAAGATAATAATACTGAATCTATGGACTAAAGAAGTCTTCCATAATTTCACTTCCATTGAGAAATTGCATTGCTATTTATAAAGTATTTTGGATTGAAAAAATACTATTTAAAATTTTTTGAACTATTTTTACTTCTCTTACTTGAGAAATAGTCGATATCAAAATGTAACGTGAAATTCCATCTAAAATGTCAAACATCTAAGTGATGATAAATGCTTCTTGGCCTATAGAAGCCTGGAAAAATTAAGTACAATTTCACTATTAGTAATCTTCTAAGATTTTATAAATTCTAAGGGACCTGACACAAGGGGAAGCATGATTGGTATTCTGAGTTCACACTTTTTAATTGAGCAGAAATATTTATAGATAATTTTGTAAAACCTCCTTTAGTCTAGGTATGTGAAGCATGGTAGATTGTAGTTCCTTGGAATTGTCTAATTATTTACATGTTGTGGGAAATCAGGGACCCCAAACGGAGGGACTGACTGAAGCCATGGCAGAAGAACGTGGATTGTGAAGATATTATGGACATTTATTAGTTCCCCCAAATTAATACTTTTGTTATTTCTTATGCCTGTCTTTACTGCAGTCTCTAAACATAAATTGTAAAGATTTCATGGACACTTATCACTTCCCCAATCAATACCCTTGTGATTTTCTATGCCTGTCTTTACTTTAATCTCTTAATCCTGTCAGCTGAGGAGGATGTATGTCGCCTCAGGACCTATTAATAATTGCATTAACTGCACAAATTGTACAGCATGTGTGTTTAAACAATATGAAATCTGGGCACCTTGAAAAAAGAACAAGATAACAACAATGTTCAGGGAATAAGACAGATAACCTTAAATTCTGACCACTGGTGAGCCAGGCAGAACAGAGCCATATTTCTCTTCTTTCAAAAGCAAATGGGAGAAATATCACTGAATTCTTTTTCTCAGCATGGAACATCCCTGAAAAAGAGAATACGCGCCTGGAGGTATAGGCTTATAAACAGCCCCCGCAAGGTGCGCCTGTCTCTTATGGTTGAGGCTGCAGACATGAAATAGACTCCAGTCTCCCATAGCGCTCCCAGGCTTATTAGGAAGAGGAAATTCCTGCCTAATAAATTTTGGTCAGACCGGTTGATCTCAAAACCCTGTCTCCTGATAAGATGTTATCAATGACAATGGTGCCCGAAACTTCATTAGCAATTTTAATTTCGCCCTGGTCCTGTGGTCCTGTGATCTCACCCTGCCTCCACTTGCCTTGTGATATTCTATTACCCTGTTAAGTACTTGATGTCTATCACCCACACCTATTCGCACACTCCCTCCCTTTTTGAAAATCTCTAATAAAAACTTGCTGGTTTTTGTGGCTTGGGGGGCATCATGGAACCTACCAACATGTGATGTCTCCCCCGGATGCCCAGCTTTAAAATTTCTCTGTTTTGTACTCTGTCCCTTTATTTCTCAAGCCGGCCAACGCTTAGGGAAATAGAAACGAACCTATGTGAATATCGGGGCAGATTCCTCAATATTTACATGTTAAGTTCTTTATTCAATAACATTTTGTGAGACTCCAATTTACTTTCTTAGAAAGCTCAAGACATATGATCCACCTCATGAATTTTAAATTTTACTAATATTATTTTTTTGCTGTATTACTTTAACAGGTTTAATCAAACCATCAATGTAATAGTCAGCATATTTTGCAAAACAATTAACCAAAAGGAAAATATCATGTTTTCTTGATAATGATTCTAGCTAAGGAGAATAAACCTGAGAAAAATCTACATTCCTTAAGAAATAAAGAATTATGATTTTCAAGATTCCTGTACCTTCATTATTTTACTTATGTTCACAACTTATGCGCGAATGAGTTAAGGCAGGCATTATAATTTCACATTTAAAAGTGAGGAGCTAAATCTCTGAGACATTACGTCGTATATTCAAAGTAGCAGTATAAATATTTAAATAAAATTCTTTTACAACTGTCCGTATATATAAATATCTAGAGGTATTTGGGGTTTGGGGGAATTTCAAACATTTTAAAAGAAAACTCAATCAGGAATGAAGGACTTTGAAGTTGTTCTAAAAATGACTAGGTCAACAAAATAAAAATATATTTTAAAAAAATTTATTTAAACATTTTAGAAATAAAAATCTTATTTTAGCTCTACATCTTTTTATTACCCAAGTAAACTTAGGTCAAATCTTAACTGAATTGTTTTCAACCATAGAACACAATACATTTTGATGGTACATAGTGACAACATTTAAAAAGGCATTTAGGACAAAAAGCCAGAAAAATATCTTAATAACAGATAGACCCAGTCTATGAAACAGCACCTAGATAGATTTTCATGGTTTTTGACTTTTGATTCTTCATTCCAGCTTTGAAATTGTGACACTGTCTTTGGGTACAAATCTTTAGTGTATAGATGACGACATAGTCAATCTGACTGATTTCTCTCTTGCCTTTCTTAAAGGCAGATTGCCCAGGAAATTGTGTCACCAAAAACTAAAGTAAGGGAAGATTGTGCTATTAGGTTTACATTTACAACAACATTATAATAGTTTTGAGAGAGCTTTGAAAATTGGGATAAAAATATTTTGCTTCTATAAAATTGACTTAGGTACAAAACCTCAGAAATAATTGTAGCTTACATGCAAAGGATGCTAACCTACAAAGGTTCCTGTACCCAAGAGGGCCTTGGTCAAGAGACCAAGAGGGCTTTAGGGTTCTATTTCTCTTGACTAAACCTTAGATAGGCTTTTTCTTGCCTTTAGGCTCCTGACTTCTCTCTCACCCAAGTCCTTACAAAATCGACATGACCCACCCACAGAGGTCCTTTCCTCCATTTTTATAGGTTTTACTTTGTAGTTGTCCATTCTTTCTCTGCCCTTTTGAGTGTAAATATTTTCAAAAGCTTCCTATCAATTATACAACCCAGGAATGCCTTTTTCTATGACCTAAGGGCCACCTCTTTGAATTACAATCATCAAGGAAGATATCATTCCTATGTCCTAATTTCTGTCTAGGGTAGGAGACTAACTTCAGTGGACACATCCCTTCAAGCTCCAAAACTGTTTCTTTTTATAAACATCTGAGAAGTTTATTTTTCCTTTGGATAAATCTAATTAGTTAACACAGATGGTCACCTCAATTACCAAATAAATTTAGGATGAACTATGTGTGACAAATGGTGTTTTCAAGTCCTCATACTTTGGACTAGTTATTGTTTATCTTCAGAATATGTATGTAATCATTTGTATCTGCTTAGCTATATAAAAGTGTGAGATCCCTTTCTGTCTTTGCAGTCTTTTACCAGATTGCCTGTAATGTGCATCACATTCTGATTTAATTTTTATTCAATTAATTTTTTGCTTCTATCTTTTTGGAGACTTTTCTCGATTGGGAGAAGATTTTGGTTTTAGTTATACTTTTCATGATTTGGGCAGTATGTCTGGGAGCTCCTGAACTGAACAGACTAGTTGAAGCTCTGTGGCCACACAACAGTCAGGTAAGAGAAGTTAAACTATGAAATGTTTCTCTGTAGCTCTCCATTCTTTTGCAATGCTAGCCTGATGGACCACCCTCTCTAAATTACAGAGGCTAATAGTGTATGTGCATGGGTAATATGGGCTCTAAAATTCTATCAGGATCACTGCATGGTTGTATTATATGGTGTCAAAAACCTAAACAACAGGAAGAGAAGGAGAGACTCTGAAAGAAAATGATACCTATTTGGGAGTAGCATTGCAATGGAAATATGCATGGTATAATAAACTGTGTGCGTATTTAAAGCAATTAAGACCAGGAGAAATTTTTAAAGGCAAAATGAGGAGAATTACATATTTATTTTGGGATAATTATTCTTGGCTACAAGGATCAATAACAAGGGTGATGTCAGTTCAAGGTTGGACAGGCAATTGATTGCTGGGCAGATGTCCTCATAGAAGTAACTTTTTGTAAGCTTGTGGTGACTTATGTGCAAAGTTGTGGGTTTTTTTCAGTCTTTTGTGATTTTTTTTTGTGATTAGGCATAGATGCATGTTTGTGTTCCTTCCTTCATGACCTTTCTTGGATCCCTTTGTCAGGGTTTTTACACAAATGACTCAATTTTTATTCTAACATCTTTCACTTTTCCCCCTTTTGATTAAGATATTTTTTCAAAAGTATCACTGATCAATCATCCTGTAGTTAGATTTTGATTATTCTCTGGTGTCAGCATATACCTGTCTCAGATTGGTCTGTCCTGGTCCCAAGTTGAATGGAGGTGATTGGTGACCAGGAATTAGTGTCAAAATCCTCATAGTTACATTTGAGCAATAAGGAAGGTTTGTACAGAGTGGTTCTAAGACTAAGTCTACCTGGAATCCACTGCTAAGTTCAATTTTGACTGTTCCATAAGTATGTATGGAATACATATGAATACATATGTATTCATATGTATTCCATACATACTTCTGTGTATGTATGGATATTAGCAATAGCATAGACATTTTCTAATTTAACCAACAAATCTAGGGAAATTTTATTATTCAGTATGTATATTAGCAATAGCATAGACAGTATTATATTAGCAATAGCATAGACATTTTCTAATTTATGTATGTATATTACAGTATGTATATTAGCAATAGCGTAGATAGTATGTATATTAGCTATAGCATAGACATTTTCTAATTAACCAACAAACCTAGGGAAATTTTATCATCCAGTGTTTTATGGCTAAGTTGAATTAAAGGAGAAAGTAAGCAACAGTTATATTAGGGATATTACCAAAATAACCCCCAGGGAGACTAAAAGATCTCTTAGGTGATGTTCTGTGAGGTTACCAGCAGAAGCTACTGATTGTGAAATTTCAATTATACCATTATCACGACAGGTAAAAAAGGAAAGCATAAGAACGTAAAAATTAAAAGGAGCAAGAGTCTCATTATGATGAGGAGTCTTGTTCCATTATCTTGAGAAAAATCAACCACAGCATAAAGCTGCCAACTTTCTCCTCTTTTGCAGTCTGAACATCTCTGGTCACGGCACTGGGCAGTCTGGGGAACTTTCTGCATGGCTCATCTATCAGGCATGAGACTTGCTCCTTAAAATTTATTTTGTTTTAGTTTACAGGTCTTCAGGAACAGAACAATTCCTGTTTTAAGTAATTCCATAAAAGAAGGTTGAATTGGAGAAACGTAGAAACTTTAGGGTCCAGTCCAGTCTTTAGGTAGATAACGAAAACTTAAAAACAATGCACAAGGCTACAAACTAACAACAGGTATGCTCTAGTTTTTTTGTTAGAAACATGAGTTTTTCTCTCTTTAGTTACCCTGATTTCTACCAAAGATAATCAGAGTAAGACAAATTTGTTTGTAAAATAAGTTTAGTTTCATCAAATTTTCTCTGATTATTTACGTAAGCTCAACAAGAATAGCAAATGGCTATATAAGAATTTCAGACCTAAAATCTTTTCAATGCTACAAAGCTATAGCAAGTCAGGCATTAACATTCACTTACAGTCTTGAAGTTCCTGGGCTTGCCAGAAAGTAACAGATTTTACTCATTCACCGTAAGGCGGGGAACCCTTGAAGCCAGACATTCTATGTAAATTCTCAAATATGATCTTCCAGTCAAGTACTGGTAATACAAGAGATATTTCCAATTAAATCCTCTTATAAAGAAAGGAGAAATTCTTATTAAACTTATGCAAATAATCATATCATCATAAAAATAAGAACACTCTCAAAATAGTATCTGAATTTTGAAGGGATCAAATGGGAAAAAAAGTAAATACTTCAATATTGTTCACAAAGTATGCTTTATTAAATTACTGTAAACAATAGATAGCTTAAGAGAAAAAGATCTGGAAAACAAAACATTTAGGTAAAGAATCCAACAATTTTTCAAATAAAAGTCATTAAAATTAGTTTTACTAGGTATTCAATCTCATGTAATTAATTATTTGGCTTGCTTGATCTTGATTAGTAGTTTCATGAATTCATCAGTTTCTTCATTAGAGTTCTGGAAAATTTTATTTACTCCATTGATCTTAAAGGTACTAGAAACCTGTATTTTAGAGTACTTGGTTGAGTATTTTCCATGGGAAACAATTTTGGACAATAGCTTATTGCAAAAGTTTTTAGAAAAAATAAAAACAATTACCATGGATGATAAAATTTTAGATTAGCTATGATTTAAAATCTGACTAGAGGAAATGTAATTAAGGAAATTTAGTTATTTCTATTCCATACAACATTTTAAGATAATAATCAGAATCATTATAGTGTAACATCAGGACCATTAGACCTTTATAAATTTCGTATAATCTTTAGAATGCTCACATTAATAAGATATGTATACAAATATAACCTTAAAGAAGATTTAGCATCAGTTTATTATTTAACATTGTTTCCCATACTAATTACCAAATAAGATTGATCAGTTAATATCTTTACTAAATGAGATATACATTCTTTGAGGCTCTTCAGAGGCTCAACTGGAAAATCTCAAAGTTCATTCTAGGTCAATGATATGATTTGGATGTTTGTTCCCTCCAAATATCATGTTGAAATGTGACCTCCAAGGTTGGAGGTGGCACTGAAAGGGAAGTGTCTGAATCATGGAGGTGAATTTCTCATGAATGTCTTGGTGCTGTCTTTGCAGTATGAGTGAGTTCTCACTCTATGAGTTTATTCAAGATCTGAATGTTTAAAAGTGCCTGGCATTTCTCTTGCTCCTTCTCTCACCATGTGCTATATCTGCTCCTCTTTTGCCTTCTGCCATGATTGTAAGCTTGCTGTGGCTCTTGCCAGAAGCAGATGCTGGCATTGCCCTTCTTGTACATTCTGCAGAACCATGAGCCAAAATGAACTTCCTTCTTTATAAATTGTCAAGCCTCAGGTATTCCTTTATAGCAATGCAAATGAGCTAACAGAAAAACAAAACAAAACAAACAAAACCTTAATTTAGAACTTTAATATTGGAGAACCCTATCTAAGATGTAAAAAGGTTGAAAACACCTGAAGAAAAGAGACTCACATGTTGTTTAAAATAATAGTCATTCACTTAATTAGAATGACAATTAAAAGCTGCAATGGCAGTACAGTAAGTTAAATGGATGAAGAAAAACAATGAAACCTAATCTTTTCAAAGTTTAGTTTTTCTAAGTTATCAAACACCTAATAAAGAAAGCTTGAAATAGAACAAATTATCTCAATAAAGTGGAAAATTATTGTTTTATAGGACAGTTACCAAAAGGTAAAGTAAAAGACCTCTTGCAATGCTATTGCTTCTCTTCTGGGGAAGCTCATTTAAATAACCTGGAAGTCAAATCTGATGAAAAGGTATTTGAATGCAATCATACCTAAGAAGAATGTGTGGTTAAGATTAAGAATGCATACCATATTATAGAGGAAATAAGCAAGAAAACCTGTACTGTAAGCAGGAGAGTATATGGCTCATAAAAATGTAAAAGCACATGAAATTGCCTAGTTACATTAAAAAATTTAGACAAATCAAGAAAAGCCAAATGTATAGAATCAAATTATACTCCAGGAAATCATTGCTTTTCTAGGCCTTCAAGACAAACATTTTAATGTCAGGTCCTAACAGTCCTAACAGCAAAGTTGGAACTGGAGAAAAAACAAAGTTGGAACTGGAGAAAGTTGCAAGAGTTGAAACAATTTTAAAGAGAGAGTTGTCATCTCAACCAAGCAAAAAGGTGTACTATATTAGTCTGTTTTCACACTGCTGATAAAGACATACCCAAGACTGGGCAATTTAGAAAAGAAAGAGGTTTGATTGAACTTACAGTTTGATGTGGCTGGGGAGGGCTCATAATCATGATGGAAAGCAAGGAGGATCAAGTCACATCTTACGTGGATGGCAGCAGGCAAAATAAATAAATAAATAAATAAATAAATAAATAAATAAAGCTTGTGCAGAGAAACTCCCATTTTTAAAACCACCATATCTCATGAGACCCATTCACTATCACAAGAACAGCATGGGAAAGACCCACCTCCATGATTCAATCATCTCTATATGGTCCCTCCCACAATAGGTGTGAATTATGGGAGCTACAAGATGAGATTTGGGTGGGGACCTGGCCAAACCATGTAATTTTGCCCCTGGCCCTTCCCAAATCTCATATCTTCACATTTCAAAACCAATCATGCCTTCCCAGTTTCATGTGCGTCCCTGTGAAGAGACCACAAAACAGGCTTTGTGTGAGTAACATGGCTGTTTATCTTACCTGGGTGCAGGCAGGCTGAGTCTGAAAAGAAAGTCAGCGAAGGGAGATAGGGGTGGGGCCGTTTTGTAGGATTTGGGTAGGTAAAGGAAAAAGGGGGGTTGTTCTCTGGCAGGCAGGAGTGAGGGTCACAAGGTACTCAGTGGGGGAGCTTTTGAGCCAGGATGAGCCAGGAGAAGGAATTTCACAAGACAATGTCATCAGTTAAGGCAAGAACAGGCCATTTTCACTTCTTTTGTGGTAGAATGTCAGCAGTTAAGGCAGGAACTGGCCATCTGGATGTGTACATGCAGGTCACAGGGGATATGATGGCTTAGCTTGGGCTCAGAGGCCTGACATTCCTGTCTTCTTATATTAATAAGAAAAATAAAATGAAATAGTGGTAAAGTGTTGGGATGGTGAAAATTTTTGGGGGTGGTACGGAGAGATAATGGGCGATGTTTCTAAGGGCTGCTTCAAGTGGGATTAGGGGCAGCGTGGGAACCTAGAGTGGGAGAGATTAAGCTGAAGGAAGATTTTGTGGTAAGGGGTGATATTGTGGGGTTGTTAGAAGGAACATTTGTCATTTAGAATTATTAGTGATGGCCTGGATGCAGTTTTCTATGAATTGAAAAACTAAACGGAATAAGAGAAGGAGAAAAACAGGTATAAAAGGTCTAAGAATTGGGATGACTCAGGATGTCTGATTAGAGAGTGCCTAAGGAGATTCAGCATAGTCCTGCCAGTGAAGATTATTTATTTAGTTCAAGAGTTAAGAGTGGCAGTTTGGGGATAGCACCAGGAGATATCAGCTGTGATGGCTTGGAGAAACAGTGTAAACCGGCAGTGTAAACAAGAGCAGGGCATGTATGAGTAGTTGAGAATGGTGAATAGGAGTATGACTAGACAGAAGATAGTAGGGATGACAAGTTTTTTGGGGGCACAGTCTAAGTAGGTCTGGTGTCTGGAATGAGACTGGGGCCTAATAAAAAGGAGCGTCTATACAGGAGCTCAAATGGGCTGTACCTTGTAGCATTCTGTGGACAGGTCTGACTTCTGAGAAGGGAAAGTCGTAAAAGTATTGTCCAGTCCTTTTTAAGTTGGTGGCTGAGCTCGGTGAGGTGTGTTTTTAAAAGACCTTTAGTCCATTCTACTTTTCCTGAAGACGGAGGACCGTAAGGGATATAAAGGTTTCACTGAATACTAAGAGCCTGAAAAACTGCTTGGCTGATTTGACTATAAAGGCTGGTCTGTTATCAGACTGTATAGAGGTGGGAAGGCTAAACTGAGGAATTATGTCTGACAGAAGGGAAGAAATGGCTGTGGTGGCCTTCTCAGACCCTGCAGGAAAGGCCTCTACTTATCCAGTGAAAGTGTCTACCTAGACTAAGAGGTATTTTAGTTCTCTGACTTGGGGCATGTTGAGTAAAGCTAATTTGCCAGTCCTGGGTGGGGGCAAATCCTTGAGCTTGATGTGTAGGGAAGGGAGGGGGCCTGAATAATCCCTGAGGAGTAGTAGAATAGCAGATGGAACACTGAGAAGTTATTTCCTTGAGGATAGATTTCCATGATGGAAAGGAAATGAGAGGTTCTAAGAGGCGGGCTAGTGGCTTGTACTATAGCATAGCCTGCCTTTGCTGGTGTGTGGCAATTAGGCCTAGTGGAACTGCCATCAATAAATCAAGCATGATCAGGGTGAGGAACAGGAAAGAAGGAAATATGGGGAAATGGGGTGAATGTCAGGTGGATCAGAGAGATACAGTCAAGGGGGTCAGGTGTGGTATCAAGAATAATGCAGGGGGCCAGATTGAAGTCTGGGCCAGGAACAATGGTAATTGTGGGACTTAAAAAAGAGTGAGTACAGCTGAAGGAGCCGGGGAGCAGAAAGTATATGTGTCAGGTATGAGGAAGAAAATAGATTTTGGAAGTTATGAGAAATGTAGAGAATGAGTTGAGCATAGTATGTGATTTTTAGGGCCTCTAAAAGTATTAAAACAGCAGCAGCTGCTGCACGCAGACATGAGGGCTAGGCTAAAACAGTAAGGTTAAGTTATTTGGACAGAAAGGCTATAGGGTGCGGTCCTGGCTCTTGTGTAAGAATTCTGACTGCACTAGCCATGCCTAGGAAGGAAAGGAGTTGTTTTATAAGGGATTGAGGTTTGGGAGATTAATTGGACACGATCAGCAGGGAGAGCACATGTGTTTTTATGAGAATTATGCTGAGATAGGTAACAGATGAGGATGAAATTTGGGCTTGACTGAAGTAATGGGGTCTGTCTGTGAAGGCTTGCGGCAGCACAGCCCAGGTAATTTGCTGAGCCTAATGGATGTCAGGGTCAGTCTAAGTGAAAGCGAAGAGAGGCTGGGATGAAGGGTGCAAACGAATAGTAAAGAAAGCATGTTTGAGATCCAGAACAGAATAATGGGTTGTAGAGGGGAGGTATTGAGGATAGGAGAGTATACGGGTTTGGCACTACGGGGTGGATAGGCAAAACAATTTGGTTGATAAGGCACAGATTCTGAACTAACCTGTAAGCCTTGTCTGGTTTTAGGACAGGTAAAATGGGGGAATGGTAAGGAGAGTTTATAGGCTTTAAAAGACCATGCTGTAGCAGGTGAGTGATAACAGGCTTTAATCTTTTTAAAGTGTGCTGTGGGATGGGATATTGGCATTGAGGGGGGTAAGGGTGATTAGGTTTTCATGAGATTGTAAGCACTGCGTGATCAGTCGCCAAGGAGGGAATAGAGGTATCTTATACTTGTGGGTTAAGGTGGGGGGATACAAGAGGAGGATGCGAAGGAGGCTTTGAACTGGGGAAAAGGTGGCAATGAGGTGTGGCTGTAGCCTAGGAATAGTCAGGGAAGCAGCTAATTTGGTTAAAATATCTCAGCCTAATAAGGGAACTGGGCAGGTGGGGATAACTAAAAAAGAGTGCATAAAAGAGTGTTGTCCAAGTTGGCACCAGAGTGGGGGAGTTTTCAGGGGTTTTGAAGCTTGGCTGTCAATACCCACAACAGTTATTGGGGTGAG